>NC_000002.12:83223008-83528392 GCF_000001405.40 Homo sapiens | reverse complement strand
TATTACTCTTTGATATCTAATCTTACCCATATATTTGAAACACAATACATATTTGAAATTTTAGTAATTTCCAAAATAGTATTTTGTAATTGTAGTTGTGTTTGGCCTAAGGGAAATCCAAAGATTAACCATATGGTCTATTTAATTGGTCCCGCGGGTTTTATTCTTCAGAATGTGCATTAATGTAAAAACAGGCAAAGCACAAGAAGAGCAGGAGGCACCAGGGGATAGCCGAAAATGCACTGGTGAGAGTAAGAAAGTTCAGTTCTCAGTCCTATACTTAGTGCCTATACATACATATATATTCACACACACACACATATGTATATATATAATTCATTATTATTTTTAATAAAGACAAAGGATAATTCCTGCTCCCTGCCTTCATTATGATAATTTTTCTGAGAAATGACAACAAAACATGCATGTGAGAATATACATAATAAAATATTATGCACATGGAAGAAATTATTATTATTGTTATTTGCTCAAAAATTGTTAAACACACTTAAGCAAATAATCCAACTAGGGACAGCGTTTAAATTTTACTTATTTTTAATACACCAAAAACATTTAAGTTGAGAAAAATTATTATTTATCCACATATCCATACATTGAATGAGATGTAAAATAATGCTAAATCTGAAAATCATCTTTTTTTGTGGCATACTTTTAGTCCTACTCTACAGTAATTCACCAATTAACTCTCCCTGTCCTTGCAAACAAAATCCAATTTTGTTTAGGTGGCCAGGTCTTGGCCTCAAGAGATAGAATGGGTCCATGCTAATTATGGTTATCTAGTTTCACCTGTGTTGGTGATATGGTTAAGGACTAGACATATGACATAGCTCCGGGAAGGGGAGAAGAGAGAGAGAGGTTGACTCCTGGGCTCTTTGTATTTATTTAATGTTTAATTTAGCAGAAATGGGGTCTTGCTCCATCACCCAGGCTGGAGAGCACTGACACAATCATAGCTCACTGCAACCCAAGCAATCCTCCTGTCCTGGGTTCTTGGTGGCATCAATAAGTCAACAAATCAACTCTTTGACTTCTAATCACTCAATAGCTTGCTAAGTTACAAAAAAAGACCTTAAAGTTTAGGTCAATGTTAGCTGGATTTTGTGTTTCTTATGGCTGAAGGCATCTGAAATCACTGGTGTTCTGATCCTACAGTTTCTGGCTCCCTTAGGCCCATAAACACTCAATGGTTACCTATGAGACCTGGTAGTGTGCTCTTTTCTCTCTGGCACAGTGACTGAAAACTTTTGAAATTATTACTTCCCTGATAATCTGGATCCTTGAGTGACTCTGATAAGCAGAACAATATCATCTAGCATGAATTGAATGTAAGTCTTTGTTACTGCAAGCCACATATATTTTGGACTTTGTTACTGCAGTATAATCTACCTTGACTTGATTGATATGAGACCCTCCCACAAATATGTTGAAATTTTGCCCCTTGTCCCTCAGAATGTGACCTTATTTGGAAGTAGGGTTACCGAAGTTTAATCAGTCATAATTCAAGAAGATGAAGTCACATTGGAGTAGAATGGTTCCCTAACACCTTACAATTGGTGTTCTTATAAGAAAAGGAAAATTTGGAGACAGACACACAAGGAGAATGCCATGTGATGACAGGTATGTTGAACTGTTGCAAATGCAAGCCAAAAAACACCAAGGATGGCTAAAAAAGAAACAAAAACCCTACAAAAGCTAACAGGAGGCAAGGAAGGATTCTTCCTGACTGGTTTCAGAGAGAGCATGACCCTGTTGATACTTAATTTGGGACTTCTATCTTCAGAAATGTAAGGCAATAATTTTCTGTTGTTTTAAGTAACCTGGCGTCCAGTATGTTGTTATGCCAGCCTTAGGGTAATACAATCAGATAAAGCCGTGCTGTTTTCATTGTTGTAGTTATTGTGTTATTTTGTTTTCACTCTTTGTAATCATGACATTAATGTCCTGTAGAAAAGGCATAATGGTCACGCCCATTCCCACATAGTAATTCTTTCAATAGGACTTAGGAAATGTACTCACATAGAGAATCTTTAAAGAAAGCCGATTTTTACAGAGTAGTGACTGATTAGGGGTTCACATAATAGTTTTATGTGACATGGGTGACCAAAGTGATATCTATCTATCTACTCTGTGTATATGTATATGTATGAACGTATATGTATGTCTATACACATATAGTTACATAAAACTACATATACATATATAGTTAAGTAGCCATTTTTTGAGTCATTCATGTAAACAAGTGGTCAAAGTAGTTCAGGTTAGAAATCTCTCAGCCTGGGCTTCCCAGAAGAAAAGAGTCCAGGTTTCCTCAGCAACACATCCCTAACCATTGGCAGCTCCATCTTAGGCGGTGTTTTTCCTAGGACAGATTTCTTGCCTCTTTGAACTACTGTTATTAACACCCTATACTCTTGTCTCTATAGGCACTGAATTTATCTCTGATATTCAATACCTTCTGGACCTCATCCTGGTTTATGCTGACCTAATCACACTCTTCTCTGAGGACCTCCCTTAATTCTCTGGTTCATGCTTACTTCTGATTGCTCCCCTTTTCTTGGATCTATCTGAGAGTAAAAGTAACTCGTGCATTTTGCCATTACCTTGTACTTCTCTGAAAATCATGACATATCCCTCAGTCTTTCCACCAGGGAAGGAGAATTCTAGAATCAAGAAAACAATGTATTTGTTTTTAATTTTTTTTTTTAATTTTAGATCCGGGGGTATATGTGCACGTCTGTTACATGGGTATATATTGACAATGGTGGAGATTGAACTAGTGTACCCATCACCCCAATTGTTTTTTCTTTTGAGATGGTCTAGCTCTGTCACCCAGGCTGGTGGGCAGGGGCATGATCATGGCTTACTGCAGCCTTGACCTCCTGGGCTCAAGGATCCTCCCACCTTAGCCTCCTGAGTAGCTGGGACTACAGGTGCCTGCCACCATGCCCAGCTAATTTTTGTATTTTTTTATAGAGACAGGGTCCCATTATGTTGCCTGGGTTGGTCTCAAACTTCTGAGCTCAAGAAATCCTCCCACCTTTGCCTACCAAAGTGTCTGAATTACAGGTGTTAGCCACTGCACCCGGCTCACCCAAATATTAAACATTGCACCCAAAAGAAAATTCTTCCTCACCCTATTCCCACCCTCCCCACTTATGTAGTCCCCAGTGTCTATTATTTCCATCTTTATGTCTGTATATACCTATTGTTTAACTCCGCCCTTATAAGTGAGAACATGTGATATTTGGTTTTCTGTTTCTGAGTTAGTTCATTTAGAATAATGACTTCCATTTTCATCCACGTTGCTCCATAGGACATAATTTCATTCTTTTTGCATGGGGGAAAAAAGTTTATTTTTGTTTCTAATTCTTAGAGCTACACCTTAAAAGAAGGACTTATTAATAGTTTATAACTAGTTGGATTTTCTGTCAGCAAAAGCATAACAAGAAATAGTAACAAACAAGATAATGTTCAGATATCTGTGATCATGTAACAAAGAGTTATATATTATATATTATAGTTACTATTTTACAGTATTTTGACACAAGACCAAGCCCTAATTAATTGGTCCTTTTTATATACCAATGAGAACATTCAGGATATTAAGTTCATAAATCAAAATTATTCTTAAATGTCATTTTTATTTTCTACGAATGAATATGAGATAATAATTAGATGTTACTACAGAAGATTTTGTGATTTATGTTTGCATGGCAACTTTCTTTGTTGCCGATGTTTAGGAAGTGAAGCCTTCTTCCTGCATCTCAACTTAGACTGAATCATCTAGAACCACAATCTGTGGATGTGGCCTTTCTCTGTTTTCTCAGGACTGAGGTTTCTTGGCCCTTCTTTTATATTCTGATAAATAGGAGTGATATCCAGTTATATCTTTCCTAATTTGAGACCCTGAGAAAAGTGGCCTCTATTGAAGACTAAAATTAATTTTAAAATAGAGAATGTTTGTAATTTATCTAGACAGAAATCAAGATGTTAGAGCTTGGCAGAACGTTACATGCTTCTACTTCCTCTATTAGTTTTAATTTAGATAAATTACTTCAGTGACATTTTATGAAACCTTTATTTTCTAGATGAAGGAAAGGATGTTACTTGGCAAGTGACTGAGATGCCTGTGATTTGAATAGAAGATTTCCTAGGGGTTTCCTGGCATAGGAGTAGCTTAAGATATTAAAGAGGTTTGGCTCAGAGAAGAAATGATTTAGCTATTGCTTATTATTTTACAGGTTTTGTATAAGAAAGACTTGATTTTTTTCTTAAATAGCACCAAAAAAACAGGATGAGGAAAAGAGGGAAATAGTTACTCAAATGATGTGATTTCTGCTTAATACAATAGCATCCTTTTGAAATACTGTACTTCCTTATTATGTGACATGTTCAGATCAAGGATGAAAGACCATTCTTCAGATAATACGAAGATGTTATTCTTTCAATGGATGGGATTTTGGCCTAGAAAGCTACTAAAAGGCCACTGAATGTTCTGTCATTCTCCAAAAGAAATGGCCAAACTATTTAAACTGATAAAGTAATTGCCATAAGTGAAAGGAACTCTGCTGGTGGAATGGGCTTGAAGAGCGCATGTGTGGTCTGAGGGAAAGAACATGGACTTTAGGATCAAAGCCACCTCACTCTGGGGAAGTTTCTATAGGTTTCGCAGTAAAGGTTTCAACATCAATAAAACTAATAATGCCCAGCTTTCAATGTTTGATAATCGACAAAATTGCAGCTATTAATTATAAATTAATTATATGGTAATAGAATGAAATCATGGTCTCAATCAAATGTCATTATATGACAAAAAGAAAAATCAATTGGCAATAGCATCATGACCTTGCTGATTACGTGAGAGTACTCTTTTTTTAATTTAACATTTATTTATTTTTTAAATTTTTATTTTAGATTCAGGAGTACATGTGCAGGTTTGTTACATAGACAGACTCATGTCACTTGGCTTTACTGTTACCGGCACTGTGACATCCACAATTCCCCTGCCCTGTTTAGGCATAGGAGCTCTGTTGAAGTGGAAGAAAATGCTTCTGCTTTGTGCCTGTGTTTATTTTCACTATTGCTCTTTCTTGTCTCTTGTAACAACCAATTACCTAAGAGCAATGTCAGAACAAAGCCAGATTTTAGAAGTTATTAAGCAAATCATTTACAAATTCTTCCAAAGGGCACATAGATGCATACAAATAACTCTACTCGCAAACTCCAAAGTTTCCCAAGTTGAAACTATCATCTTAATCTTGCATTATAGCCAAAGGTGAATGGACCAAAGAACTAACATGATATTGGTTAATACCCATGGGATGTCAACCAAGGAACACAAACTCTGCCCCATTACGTACCTTTGTTCAGTTTGCTTGTTTAAAAAAACTCATCTCTTTCTGTATAACTCTTTGCAATAGTTTTCTCTCTGACTTCGCTTGAAGTTTTTGCTTTGACTTTGTATGAAACAGTTTCAACCCAGGATAGGCAACATTCTTACCCTTAAACTTGTCATCCTAAATGTCATCTCTGACCCTGATCATTCTGTCTCAGAAATCTGGTTCTGGGCCGGGCGCGGTGGCTCACGACTGTAATCCCAGCACTTTGGGGGGCTGAGGCGGGCGGATCACGAGGTCAGGAGATCGAGACCATCCTGGCTAACAAGGTGAAACCCCGTCTCTACTAAAAATACAAAAAATTGGCCGGGTGTGGCAGCGGGCGCCTGTAGTCCGAGCTACTCTGGAGGCTGAGGCTGGAGAATGGCGTGAACCCGGGAGGCGGAGCTTGCGGTGAGCCGAAGTCGCGCCACTGCACTCCAGCCTGGGCGACAGAGTGAGACTCCGTCTCAAAAAAAAAAAAAAAAAAAAAAAAAAAAGAAACCTGGTTCTGTGGGGAAGAGAGAATCTGATTCGCGCTGCTATCTTTTTATGGGCAGCAGAGCTGGGATAGAACTGATGCTTCCTCAAAATGGAGGATTAAGACTATTTGGTGGTTAGGGGAATTGGTAATAGCCCTTCAGTGTTATGGGTAGGGTTTTGCATATATTCGAGTTTGAAAACAAAATAAATGACCAGATCTTGAACATCGGAATTCTTGACCTGATTTCAAAGGCTGAATCAGATTCAAGGCAGAAACAAAGAAAACACATTTTAGGAAAGATCATGCTATATTGTCCTAATAGAAAAATCTAATAGAATAATTATTCTAATTATTTTGGAGAATGTTTTTACAACAGATAAACTTTTTAGAATCCTTGGAATAGATGAGAGAGGATAAATACTTTGAACTGGAAATACTTCTATTTCTAACCTCCAGAGAATCAATAATGCTTGCCTCAATATGATAGTGAATAATGTTTGTCTCAATATGAATATCAGCCTTAAACACCTACATTGTCAAAAGCAAGTCACCTCCTCTCCAATCCTAGCAGTAAATATGAAAATTGAAATAGCTATAAATATATTGATATAGTGCCATGCTCCATATATAATGCAACCTATCAGCACAGTAAATGCATCTCCAGTAAAGAATCCCATTCCTACCAAAAACTAATTACCTTAGATACAAAATTCAATATCCTTTCTAAATGCATACATTTGCACATGAGAATAGTGGTTGTCATTGCAATTTGAGCTTCCACGAAAGCCTAATTTAACTCTAAAACTAGACACATATTCTTTTAAAATTAAGTGGTTTCCAGAATGTCCTATTGAACAAAAATTTTGCATGGGATTTTGCCCATAGTTAAACGCAACTCTGAAAACTGCTTGAGGAGTAAGACTCCTTTACAAAGCCCAGGACTTTGTGCATGTCTGCCCCTAGTTTACTAATCCACACATTTCTTATGCTTAATATAGAAAAAAGAATATGGCAGATATAATTCTAGAATACTAAAAATGTGTAGGTATATGGCCAAAGAAAAAGTCCAGGTAAATTTGCTCTGTGTATTACTATATATGCATACATTTTAAAGTCCCAAACTCTATTTGCACATCACAATCCTGTGAGATATCCAAACCTGTAAGGACCCCTTTTGAATAAATACTGAGTCTTATCTTATTAGTTATCCCTTAGGCCCACACTTTGTTTACATGGCCTCTAAGAATTTGCTACTATCCTAATGTAAAGTGACAAAGAAAGATGACGCTAAGGAAGAGCGGAGATAAGAAATGATATTTTATTCTCATCATATAAAGTAGAAGATAAGCCATTCATCCTGTAGATACTTTTTCTGGGACCTACCTACATTTCTGCCTAGCTCTGAGGTTTCAGGCCCACCCCAGAAAGAAGGAGGCCCCAGGCAGGTCTTTAACCACCAACCACGGGAGAAAATAAACCTTCAATGTTGGAGAATCTCACAGGTACATGTCAATGTACCAAGGGACTGAAACAACTTTTGCCTCTTTGTAAAGGACAGACCTTCACCAGGAGTATAATGTTAGAATCTCTTCCTGCAAGGGTTGGAAAGAGAAAAAAACAAAAAGCAAAAGTTTATGCTTTCCCTAAAGGCCAACAGAAATCAGTTTCCACCAACTGCATTAAAAAATTCTCCAATTGTCTACACAACGTGAAATCCATGAACAAGGACTAGGCGAATTTGGAAAGTCAAATATCTCTTTCAGACCATTAATTAGGAGAATAGGTTGAACGAAAATCAAATTATAATCAACTCAGGAACAAAAATAGTTTTGTTTTCTTTAGGTAAGCCTTTCAAACAGCATTTTGCCTTGAGGAAGTTATATAATTACCCACATATGTCACACAATAAAGAAAGAAATTGCCGTTGGTCATCATTATATTTGAATCTCAGGATAGCTCATAGTTGTAAGTTGCCAGCACAGCATGTATTTTATTAAAAATTTAATACTGTTAAAAACAATATTAAATTAAAAGCCAGGGGCAATTGTCAGGCCACGTTGTGGCCCTCCTTCTTACAATTTCCCTCAGTGTCGAAGTGTTAGACGATGGTAATACTGAACATTTCTTCATCTGTAAGTGATATTTCAGAGGAACTAAAATCAGGTAACATGTTTCAAAATCATTGTGTCAATTAGCTGTTTTGCCACTTCCCTTAGGCAGGTTTATGAAAATGGATATGTTTTAAATACAACTGGCCTTGTATCATGGGCGAAATCTGAAGCTGAAAGTTAGATCATTAATATTTGGTTCTACAGCTTTTACTTAAATCTGTGTAAGATTGACCAAGTCTTCGAGTTTACTTTCTACTTCATCAAATAGATAATAGTAGCTCCTTACGTGGATTATTCTGTGTAACAAATTCATTAGTGTTATGACATAGAATACTAACTATAAATTATTATTCAAATCTTAGTTTTTTTTAGGGAAGCTTAAAAGTTTCATGTCCCACACTGTAAGAAATCTCTACCTACTATTCTCTTGTAGCATTTGTAATTCCACATCATTTATTCTGTTGGGCTAAGGTATCAAAACTTTTAATTCAAAATATAATTTTAGTGTTCATAAGTGATAACTCAATGGCTATTTCAGTAGATCAAAGATTAGGACTTTTGATCTAGCAACGCACATTGATTATGCATAGTTTATGGTAAAATTTGCAAAAATATGCTGTAAAAATATCACGCATGGTAAAAAAAAAAAAAAGAAAAAAAAAGGTAATATAAGCCAAATAGAAATAAAAGTTGCAAACTAGAAACTAGTGTCCAGGGGCAAAAACACGAAATTTGCCAACAATTAAATTTAAATTAAACTAAGTTAAAATTTGCCAACAACTCAAAATTAGGATAATTCTTTTTGTTTTTGTTTGTTTCTTTGTTTGTTTTCAGAGTGCAGTGGTGTGTGATCATGGCTCACTAAAGCCTCCAACTTCTGGGTTCAAGTGATACTCCTACCTAAACCTCCTGAGCAGCTGATACTATAGGTGAGTGCCACGACACCCAGCTAATTTTTTAAATTTATTTCTATCTTTTAGAGCCAAAGTCTTACTATGTTACTCACTCTGGTCTTGAACTCGTGGCCTCAAGAAATTCTCCCATATCAGCCTCCCAAGTCGCTAGGATAATTCTAGAGAAATATGATGTCTAGTTTTTTTTTAATAATTAGATTAGAAAATGTAGAAATACTTGACATGGTTTCCAGAGATCAACCATCCTTAGAAGCTGAGTAACAGGCACAAATTAGAAAGTAGAGGTACACTTTCTAATATGCCACTATCTCCCGTTGTTACCTCTTTCCTTTCCATAAAAGTAAGTTATTTGTCTGGTTCCTGAATTAGAGTCTCTGAATGACAACTGGAAATCTATTAACCCAATTCAACAAAGACACAGAAAAAAGAATAAGAAAATATGAACAAAGTCTCTACAGATTCTAATTGACCCATGTGGGCCACATATTGACCACCATTCTAATGTTTTATGTCCAAAAACATGAGAGCAAGTTAACTATTAGTGGTTATGCAATCTCTCTGAAAATAGCACATTTAAGCAACATGGTAAAATTTTTCTTTACATTGACCACTTACTAGAGTATGCTATGATGAGGCTGGGGTAAGGTGTGGCATGGTGAACTGTCAATATTTGGATCACATACATGTTCACAAAAATTGGTCACATGCCAGAGCAACAGCAGGCCAGGAAAGGGAAGATGTTGTTCATGGGAGCCAAACAAGAGATGCGGGCCGGGCGCGGTGGCTCACGCTTGTAATCCCAGCACTTTGGGAGGCCGAGGTGGGCGGATCACGAGGTCGGGAGATCGAGACCACGGTGAAACCCCGTCTCTACTAAAAATACAAAAAATTAGCCGGGCGCGGTGGCGGGCGCCTGTAGTCCCAGCTACTCGGGAGGCTGAGGCAGGAGAATGGCGTGAACCCGGGAGGCGGAGCTTGCAGTGAGCCGAGATTGCGCCACTGCACTCCAGCCTGGGCAACAGAGCCAGACTCCGCCTCAAGAAAAAAAAAAAAAAGATTGTAGTCCCGAGCCCTGCCCCGCGGGGAGGCGGTTGAGGCCCGGCGAGAATTCGAGCGCTGCGCGGGCGGGCCAGCAGAGTTGGGGGACCCTGCGCACCCTCCGCAGCTGCTGGCCCGGGTGCTAAGCCCCTCACTGCCCAGGCAGGCGGGGCGCCAGCTGGCCGCTCTGAGTGCGGCGCCCGCCGAGCCTACGCCCACCCGGAACTCGCGCTGGCTCGCGAGCGCCGCGCGCTGCCCGGGTTCCCATCCGCGCCTCTCCCTCCACACCTCCCAGCAAGCAGAGGGAGCCGGCTCTGGCCTCCGCCAGCCCAGAGAGGCTTCCACAGTGCAGCGGCGGGCTGAAGGGCTCCTCAAGCGCGGCCAGAGTGGACGCCGAGGCCGAGGAGGCGCGGAGAGCGAGCGAGGGCTGCTAGCCCATGCAATGGACTCCATGAAGGTTCTTATGCTTTAATGCTTTATTTTTGTGTGGTTGCCTCCTGCCAGGAGGTGGCGCTTTCCAGAAAGCATCAGCTAGTATAGAGAGGGACTAGAGGTGGGCAGGGCTCTAGTACTCCGAAGATTATATGCCCTTTGTCTTCCGCTACCAGGGTGGATAAGGAAGGACCATTTGGCAAGGGCAGAGCTAGGCATGTCTGAGCTCAGACTCTCCTTAGGGGGGTCTTGCTGCAGCTGCTGTGGGGGATGGGGTGAGATTCCCAGGTCACTGGAGTTGTGTGCCTAGGAGGATTATGGCTGCCTTTGCTGAGTCATGCCGGTTATCAGGAAAGTAGGGGAAAGCCAGAAGTCACAGGCTTCACCCAGCTCCCATACAAAACGAAGGGCCGGTCTCACTCCCACCATGCCCCCACCAATAGCTCCGAGTCTGTTTCCAGGTCGAGGGTGTGATGGGCTTGAAAACTTGCCGCGGGTTACCCACCTCCAGCTGCCAGAGAAAAGGGCTTAGTTCTTCCCCTGCCTGTGGAGTCTGCACACCAGATTTGAGCCCTCCCTCGAGTTCTGGCCAGGAGACTTCTCACCCTGTTCAAAGTGTTACAAAGTTCAGCTAGAGATTTCCTTCTCCCTGTGAAGTATACTCCACGCTCCTTTGATCACCCACCTGATGGATCTCTGTGGTGCCAGGAAGGAATGTCCCTAGCAAGGGGACATAGCGAGCTCCCAGGGCGTTTCTGCTGCTTCCTCTACCCCTGCATTTCAGCTCTCAAAATTGGCTCAGCTCCAGGTAAGGTCGGAAACTTATCCGCAAACAGACCTTCAGCCTCCCCTGTGGGGCCGTGTGTTCAGGAGAGGAGGGTCTCCCTTTCCCACTTCCACAGTTGGGCACTCACTGTATTTGTGGTGTCTCCCGGGTCCTGCAGGAGCAGTCCACTTCCTTCAGAGGGTCTGTGGGTCGTCTCCTGAATTTCTGGTTCAAAGAGAGAGAGAGGATGTAATGGCGCACACTTGGAAGCTTATTCAGAAAAGGCGAATAGACCAAGCACAGGTGCAAGGGCCAACACACTCTTGTATTAAGATGATTGAAATTGTCTCTACACCACACAAATGTAAATCACCTTTAGTAATTTAAAGTCGTTTTAACCCAAATCCAAAATGTGTTTATGAGGAAGACAATGTGGTAAGTGGACTATCTGAAATATTTACCTTCCTTTTATTTGTGGTTCATGTGGAGCGGAGTTTCTCAATTTCAGCCCTAGTGACACTTTTTGGCCAGCTAATTCTTTGTTGTGGGTAGGGGGCGCTGTCCTATGCATGGTAGGGTGTTTAGCTGAGCATCTTTGGTCTCTTCTCACTTAATTCTAGTTAACACCCCCTCCCTACCTCCCACCCCAGTTGTGATCACTAAAATTGTCTACAGTCATTGCCAAATATCCTGTGGGAGAAAACTACCTCCAGGTTAAAACCATTAATGCAGAACATGATTAAAAAAAAACAAAAACAAAACTAAAATGGGATTTGGTCAGAAAGCCATGGAAATACATCCTAAATTTCCTAAATTTCAGCCAATTCCAAGTAGTTTTGTTCTGTCATCATTTACCACCTATGAAGGTGGTATTTTTTTTCATGAAATACCAGTTCAAAGTCCTCAGTTTTACTAAATAAATTATAGTAACAACCGTATGATAAAAGATGATTTAGTCATTAAAATGATCTCATAGAAGAACGTTTAATGTCATGAGGAAATATTTACAGAATCCTAACAAGTTGGGAGAAATTATAATGCACAATGGTATTGATGTCTTGTTCCAACACTCTGTCTCCTGGCAAGGAGGAGTGTCTACCATCCATGTTCAGAAAGGGAAATATTTTGTCAGCAGATTGGTTACTCCTCACTCAGAGATAGTACTAGGAGGACCTTAAAAAAAATCGTGGTTTTTTTTTTTGGCGTCATGTTGATCAGTAGAATAAGAGAGCCAATATAGACGTACAGCTTTGTAATACACAACTTCTGGATCAATACGCTGACCAAAGACAGTTGAGGAAGCAAAAGTTTAGAGTGCTCCAAAAATCCTTAAACATGTAGGCTTGACTATTGTTATTTACATAACAAGGAACACCTTTTCATCTTTAATTATCTCTCTTGATTTCATGTTGGTTAATTCCCAGTTCCTCCCCCAAAGTTCTATATAATTTTGCCTAAAAATTACTGTTATACGTATTCCTCTCTTTATGTTACTATTTTCTTAATCATGGGAAGGGTCATACTGTCTTAGGGAAAGGTCTACAGGGGCATTCTTGGAAGTAATACATTAATATTATTTTATTTTTAAACGTTTGTGAAATCATGTTGGGCTTCTAAATAAAACTATATTTAGGTTGTGTTACATCTTATTAATCCAAAGTCTGTTAAGGGGACTCAGGGTTTCCCTCAGCTTTTTAAATATTGTCCTGCTTCTTGGCAATAATATGTATTTCTAGATTATAAATATTTCTATATTTTTATATCTGAAATGCTATTTGAACTTGAACATCCAAATAGATTAGGTTGTTAGTTTGGGTTATTATTATTTTCCATTATAATAATGAGGGATCGATGATATTAATTAAATTTGTGTGTGTGTGTGTGTGTGTGTGTGTGTGTGTGTACGTGTACGTTTGCTCCAAAATTTTAATTTTAGCCTTCTGCTATACAAGTTAATTTTGGTTTCCATCACTGTCTATCTTTTTACATTATTTAAAATATATTATTTAATGTACAGGAAAAGTCATTTAAAAATAACAAATATAATGAAAATGTTTTAGAACTAAATAGAGTTGGTGGTTGTCCAACATCATGAATGTATTAAATGCCACTACATTTTCACTTTTAAAAAGTTAAGTTTATTTTATATGAATTCAATTTTAATAAAAAATACTATATTGAAGTTTTTTCTTAATGATATCTCTAGTGTGTATGTATATACATGTTTGAATATATAATGAAGACAATCACAATCAGTTCTCAAGAGGATTGCTACATGAAAGTATAGGCGTTAAATACCGTTGAGTCCAATGCTTTTGCTCTGGTGCTTCATAGGTGAAGAAAGGGAATGGGGAAATGTCAAACAGAACAGATTCACTTGTTTGTATATGCGTGCAAGGATTTTTTGCTGCTAACACGTTTGTCAATTACTAAGCTAAGCCAAACCCTCATTTAGCAAAAGGGCTATTAAGGCCAAGAGAAACATATGTTTTTACCAAGGTCACTTACCTTGTACCAAAGCCCAAACTAGAATTCTTATCTCTCAATTTCTAAGTAATGATCCTATTCCAAACACATTAGCACAGTGTCTAAATGTGTACTGAAACAAAGAATGGATCAAAGGTATTTGTTTGTGGAAGGATGTAAAGAACCTATTAGTGAAGAGCTTCACCTGTCAAATTTCACAGAAATACCCATCTAACCAGGAGACAGACCTATACATAGATGTTTCCTTGCCAAGGAAGAATTCCACACCTGCCTTTGGATTAACAAATGCAGTGAATTCAGCATTTTGGTCACACAACACTAGAGTAGCAGCAATGATCAAGGTAGAGGATGAGCACACAGAATGTTTTAGTAATATCTACTTCAAGAGTGTGATGCATATAATGTCACTCCAAATATGGCCAAAGGACTACAGTGCAAAGATTTTCAAAAGGCATAGTAAAGCAGGTGGGGAGTTCTGTTTCCAAGGTCAGTGAGCTGTTAGGCATTGATTATTGGCTTCATCCTTCTTAACTGTTTATGAAATACTTGTCAGTAAAATGTCGTTTGGTACGTTAAAATTATTTTTTCTTGCTTTTTGATTTTTTTTATTTATTGTGGTTATGTGCACCATAAAATTTGCCATTTTAACCATTTTTAAATGTACAATACAGTGGCATTAATCATATTTACAAAGTTTTGCAACTTTGACCACTGTCTACCCAAAATTTTTCATTACCCCAAACAGAAACTGTACCCATAAGGCAATATTATTTTATCCCCCATTTCTCTTGGATCCTAGTAACTTCTAATGTTTTTCCGTCTCTGTAAATTTGCCCGTTTGAGATATCGCATATATAAGTGGAATCACATATTTGTCCTTTTGTGTCTGGGCTTGGTTTATATATAAGACATTATCTTTCAGAGCTGTTTTAGGTTCACAGCAAAATTGAGAGGAAAGTACAGAGATATCCCATAATACTCCTTGTCCCCACACATGCATAGCCTCCCCCATTATCAACATCCACACTGGAGTGGTACATTTTTTGAAATTCAGCTTACATTGAAATCTCAAAATCGCCACAGTCCGTTGTTTACATTAGAATTCACTCTTGGTGGTGTACATTCTATCGGTTTGAACAATGTATAATGAATGAAATGATCCACCATTATAGTACCACACAGAATAGTTTTACTGCCCTAAAAATCATCTGTTCTCTGCCTGTTTGTCCCTCCCTCGCCTCTAACCTTTAGCAACTACCAATATTTTTACTCTCTTTGTATTTTTGCCTTTCCTGGAATGTAATATGATTGGAATCATACAGTATGTAGCCTTTTCAGATTGACTTATTTCACTTAGAAACATGCATTTAAGTTTCTGCCATGGTTTTATCTCTTTTTAGCACTGAATAATATTTCATTGTCTGGCTGTACCACAGTCTGTTTATCCTTTCACCTATTGAAGAACATCTTAGTTGCTTCCAAGTTTTGGCAATTATAAATGAAGCTGCTATAAGCAACCATGTGCAGGTTTTTGTGTAGATACAAGTTTTCAACTCCTTTGGGTAAATATCAAGAAAGCAAAAAAAAAAAAAGGGAAATAAACAGAAAAATAAGAAAAACCAAGAAAAAAGGATGAAAAAAGGGAGAGAAGAAAAAGGCAATAAGTGGAGGAAAGAAAAGAAAGGCAAAATGAAAGGAGAAGGAAAAAAATTGAGAGAGTAAAAGAAGAAAGAAAATGAGTAAAGTCTGCTGACACTTCCACAATGGCTTACACTAAAGAGACATGTATATAGTGCTCACATACATGAAAGACAGTGATTGCAATGTGACTGTTAAGCTTAGCTCTTGTAGCTAACTGTGATGGTTAATTTTATATGTTAACTTTACTCCTGCACAGGGTGCCGAGATTAAACATATTTCTCTCTGTGTTTATGAAGATGTTTTTGGAAGAAATTAGTATTAGAATCATGAACTCAGTAAAGCCGATTTCTCTCCCCAATGTGAGTGGACATTATAACATCTTTTGAGGCCCTGAATAGAACTAAAAGGCATAGCAAAGAGGGATTTATCCCTTTTTCTTTCTACCTGGCTTTGAGCTGGGATATTAGTCTTCTCCTGCCCTCGGACTGGGATTTACACCATTGGCTCACCTGCTTGTCAGGTCTTTGCACTTGGACTGAAATTAGAACCCTGGATCTTTTGCGTCTTCAGCTTGCAGATGGCAGATTGTGGGACTTCCTGACTTCCATAATTGTGTGAGCTGCTTCTTCATAGTAAATCTCCCTCCTCTTTCTGTCTTTGTCTCTGTATCTGTCTCTTGATAGATGATAGATAGATAGATAGATAGATAGATAGATAGATAGGATCTATAGATAGATAGATGATAGATTAACCAATCTCTTATTTTCATTAATAATGTGGTATAGTGTATTAGTCAGTGTTCTTGTGTTCTCCACTTACACACTATACAACAATATGAATATATCATTTTGTCTCTCCATCTCCATTTATTATGACACAACCCAAGAGTACATAGTTAAATAAAAAACTATGTATTATTCTGCATTTAGAGTATAGCCCTTTACTTTACTCACATTTCTATGTGGGTTCTCTGAAAATGATTTGGATGTGAGTTAAAGTGTAGTGAATGGTGTGGCAGCTTTGTAATACTATTAGCCTATCAAGCATGGTCTGTGGGGAAAAATAAATTGGTTATGGGTATTCTTCTTTACACCCCAGAAATGAGTTAACCTTGCCTTTTTGTCAAGCACTGTGCTTAATCAACATGCTTTTGACTTTGGTAGAGACACATACAATGCTCTGTTAGATCTGGCAGTTACTTGCATTTATTTTTATAGAACATAGTAAATATGCATTTGTAAGTTATTATATTCAAAAACAGAATACATTTAGATCATTTTACAGTTTGTAAGAGAATCCTCACGTGTTGCCGAGTTATCAGCTCTCTAGGGACACCTGAAATTGCCTAATTTAGTAGAGAATTCCTCCCCACTTAATCTGTTTAAGTTTTCATAAAAATATACTTGTGAAACCTATAGATTTCCTAGAAAGAGTTAAAATAAGAGTCATATTTCTGTGAATAAAGTGATATTTTTAATTATTTAATTAGTTAACAGAGTTTCTGAAAGTTAAATAAGTATCAGTCATGTGCCTGGATAAATGCCAGTACCATGCCTAGGTCACTAAGAAGTGGAATGACTTTATGCACATGTGCATGCACACACACACACGTAATGACTTTACATATATCTATATCTATCTATCTATCTACCTATCTATATATAACTATGTGTGTATAATTGTCCAAAAAGAATCAAACATGCACATTGGACCATGGGCTTCCTCTGGGGAGCCATTTTTGAGCACACTAGTAACAGTTTATAATGGGCAGGCAATTATTAGGCAATAGTGAATCATTGATCTTTTACTCATGCACTGGAGGTCTCAAGTGGCAGTTGAGTTTTTCTTTTCTTTCCTAATTTGTCTTTCAAATATCGCATGCAGACCTGACTTCTGAGCTCTAAATTTAGATCCAAGAGGATACTCCCTCCTTCATCATCAGCAGCAGCAGCAGCAGCAGCAACAGCAATATCAACAACATCAACATCTTCATCATCATAGCTACCGTTTTAGTGGGTGTCTACTTTATTCCAGCTCCTCTTCAAGAACCTTTTTATACCAGGCTTTAATAATAATAGGGCCATTATGATATTCAGAAACTATTCCAAATCAAAATGCCCAAATATTTAACAGTCTATGAGATATCAAACAAAAATCAAATCGGGATTTCATAAGTAGAGACTTTATTCAAAAGAATTTTTGCAAAGAGGGTTGAACAGACTATTGCAATAGGAAAAAATTCTCTCATGATAAGATCTACAAGTATCTCAAGAATTAGACAAAAAGGGATTTTCTTTTATAGGGAGGAGTAAATAAGGCTAAAAAGAACCAGGTGTGTGGAAGTGGGATGAAAGCATAGTATTATCAAACAGTTGATCAGAGGATGTTTTATTCTGATGCCAGCCTGTTCTCAAGAGGGACAGTTGTATGGCTTAGGCTGAGGGTGGGTTAAAGTTCAGGGACCTTGAAGAAGAGAAACTTAACTGAAGTTTGATTATCAAGCATTTTGTTTTTATTGATCAGTGGGGACAAGAAGTTTAGTTCATCGTTTATGAAACAAAGAATGGGAGTTTGAAGGTTATGCGTCTGAACTTGTAGTAGGTTAAACAAAGAAGGCCCCACATCTTTGATCTAAGTCTTATGGGGAGGGCTGTTCCTTTGGTTTATGCCTTTTCCAGAGCACAGAAGAACAGAGCAAATTCCTCACCTTGACTGTTTTCTAGAGTCATAGGGCTCCTGCAAAGTTCAACATTTTCAGATTTATTATATTCATGAGTCTCCACATCTACATCTCAGAAAATGGCATTTTTTCTAACAAGTACATGTGGTCTTTGGAGGAATGTTGTCAAATTGTAGATAACAAGATCAGCATTTGCCTTAATACTGCATATATTTGTTGCCCATGGAGCTTTCATAACAAATATAAATGGTATTTAATATTTCCAGTGATGTATTAATTAATCAGAATATTGAAATTGGTACAACTATTTCTCTTCTTAAACATCACCTTGATAATTTTCTACATTGTAAAGGATCTGCTAAAAATCCGCAGCCAGGCATGTTATTCTCAAGGACAATTATTAATATAAGTAGATAAAACTGGGAATTTTCAAAGCATCCTCTGAGAATATAGACCAAAGGAAATGATATATTGCTATTAAAACAGCAAAGACAACACTATAATATTGATGAAACACTGTGCAGGAAAATTGGAAATGTATTCAGTAGTATTTCACTCCTAAGTTTATTATCTATATTCAAATTCAGTAATTAAAAATGAAATCCATTCACCTTAGGGTCTGAAAGTATTCTCAAAAATGTCAAAAATTAATTTCAATAATGGCAAATCTGAATTGGATATGCAGAAACCCAAATTCCAATACTCTTGATGTGTGTGGATATGTGGGTATATGTACACATATATACATATATATTTATCTCCTTATGTATGTGTATGTTAGTATGTATAAATAGGTATAATGTGTGCATATACACAAACCACATATCTATACAATCTACATTGACATGTCATTGGATTATCTTTTGAACACATTATGATATTCGCCTGGTTCTCTCATTAATGAAAAGAATAAAATTTTAAAAATCTATTTATTTTAATCTACATGATTTCACCTTTTTAGAAAATCTTTTTCCCCCAAGAAAATTGATTTATAAACAATAAAACAGACATTTGAAAACTGGTTTTTCTGGTTCCAAAGCCTAATGGTTTTTGCGTGCTTTATGCCACCTTTTCTCCTGTGAATCTGGGAAGCTGGGGAAAAGTTACCTGCATTCTCACTACACAGAAAGGAAACTGAACGTCTGAGAGAGCATTTCCCCTCAGAGACAGAGGCAGTATGATTGTTTAAATGGAATATGCATTCCTGAATCTGTAGTGTTTGAACTCCTTTTCTGTTAGTCTTTTTTACTAAATAATTAAACTGAGATGATGTTTTCCTGTAGAGGGGATATGGGCAAAACTTTGAAGTGCTACTGCAAAGTAAAGAAAGAAATAGCAAGAGGACTTTCAAAAAGACAAAGCAATAGAAGAGAATGAAGTGTGATGAACACCAGCCAGAGGATTTGAGGGCTGGGATGAAGAGATTTGATTAGCTAGCTCAGGGGAGAAAGAAATCAAAAGGCAAGGTAAGCCATTTGAAATCATGAATCGAGGAAAGCCCAAATTCAACTGGGGCAGGAATTACATTTTCTAAGCCTCATAATACTCTTCTCAGCCAGAGAGGTTAGAAAAGAATTATTCTACTCTAGCCTCCACTAAACTAATAAATATCTACCCCCTAACGTAATAGTTTAGAATTAAAATGTAAAATAAAATCCTAAACAACAGGACTTTTGTAAATTGTTGAACCTTTATTAAACTATTATTAATAAATTGGTCCAAAAGATATTGCTGGAACCACAAAGGTGATTCAGCTAAATACTGATCAAAAAAAGAGAAAATCAAGGAAGAGGATAATAAAGTTGAATTCAATTATAATGGCTTATTCTGTTACTGAAAAAAAAAAGACTAGGAAAAATGACTCTCAAAAATCCTTATTTATTAAATTTGTTTTATTTGACCACTGCAGAACTATTTGAGACAGGCTGCTATTTCATCCTGTTAGTGTAACTGCTATAATGCCAAAGTGAACCAAATATTCAGATAAATGGTTGATAAGTTACTGGCAAAGATGCTTCATCACTAAATACTAACCTTGTCTACAAACTGAATTGTATCTTTGTAGAAGAAAGAGGAGCTTAGAAATAGAATAGGGCTGTTTTGGATAATGGTCTGCAACCATAGACTTGCACAGCCTCCAGGATAATTACCATATTAATTCATTGATTTTATGTTTGCATATTCCCTCAAATGCATTTCAAAACATCTGTGTGCGCAGAGTTTCATAACTTGCAAGAATTATGGTACTATCTTTGTTAAGGTCAAGATATGACAAATATTTATTAAATTGATTTGCCTTCAGTTTCAAAATTCAGAATGTCAGTGGCTAAGAAAAAGAAGTAGAAAAGAGGTAATTTTTGATGCTTTCTCTTTTCCACCAATTTTTACTTAAGAATATATTTCCAAGTGAATTTCACACTCCTGTTTATTTTATACTCACATGGAAGAAGTTATAACATGTTCCAGATAAACATAAATCATATATAAATGTGTTTTAATATCTTTGTATTTTTCTATGAAAATTCCTTTGTGTGATAATTTAAAGATATCTTTAGTTTCTAGAAAAAAATCCCTTTGACAAACATTAAACCACATTTGCAAGAAGCTCCTGGAGTACTTAATTTTTATTCAGAATCATTTCAACCTAAGCATGAATTTATAGGTTTATTCATTAACTTTTTCACATTTTGAACAAATATTTATTGAAGAGCCTGTGTGTCTGGATCTGTGGTCTGTACTCTGAAGGTAGTATTAAATGATACAAAGGAACCCCAGTAGGTTCTTAATCTCTAGTAATGGTTAGTGTAATGGAAGACACAGATGTTACGTGTACAATTAATTATTTGACTTATGTCTTATAATGCTGTAAATGAGAGGACAGCTATAATAAAAATCCTACTTGGTATTGTGATTAGGTGTTATATACTCTATGTTATATTTAAATTATTTTTAAAAATTAAGCCTAAATTTATATGGCTGTTTTTAATTTTAAGTTTATTTCAGTCCTTCCCTGAGTTTATGATAAGCACCTTCTCTTGGAAATAAAAATATGAATCTGAATTTAGACAAATGTGAAAATAGCTTAGGTGACACACTTTTCCCATATTGTCGTTTTAAGGAAAGTATATAAAGAGTTATTTACAAAGATTTCATTTAAGAAAGACAGTTTTATACAGATGATAGAAAAACTCCAATGTTTCAAAATCTAACAAAAGGATAATTTATTTTGTAAACCATAGCAAACAACAACAAAAAGACAGAAACAAATATCTAAGTAATTCATCAATACTTAGAAACATAATTATACACTTCTAAAGTTATTTCAAATTGTTTTAATTTCATTTGGAAGAGTATATATGATAGTAATCGGGAAAGTTCTGGAAAAAAGTGTAAGATGCCGGAGATGAATTTGAAGATATACTTACTAAAACTTTAAGATTCTCACATAAGACAGATCAATAAAACAAAAAATTTATTTAGATCATTGGCAACAAATATAGATAAATTTAAAAAATGCTGGCGCTCCATCACATATCATATAGCAAAATATATCACACGTGTTAATGATACAAATTTAAATTATAAAATTGTGTGATGACTAGATAATTTTAGTCAAGGTCTTTATATTACTGTGGTGAAAAATAACTTCATAGGAAATATGTCAGAAAAGTCAAAGTATAAGATAAATTTGATTTAGAAGATGTAAAATATCTATGACAAAACTGTAAAATATTTTTAAATGATGAAAAATATGTTACATGTTTGAGAGATTAAAGATAATTTTTTTTTTTTTTTTTTGAGACGGAGTCTGGCTGTTTGGCCCAGGCTGCAGTGCAGTGGTGAGATCTTGGCTCACTGCAACCTCCGCCTCTCAGGTTCAAGCGATTCTCCTGCCTCCCGAGTAGCTGAGAATACAGGCATCCACCACCATGGCAGGCTAATTTTTGTATTTTTAGTAGAGATGGGGTTTCACCATGTTGGCCAGGCTGTTCTCGAACTCCTGACTTCAAGTGATCCACCCGTCTCGGCCTCCCAAAGTGCTGGGATTACAGACGTGAGCCATCGCACCCGGCCTAAAGATAAATATTTTAAGGTATTCTTAGCCTTCACAAATAAGTAAGGCACTTTAAAGAAAACAAAGAACACAAGAAAGAAACAAATGGGCTAATTCAGCTGTCAACATACAGAAGACTTACCAACTGCAAATGAATATGTGAAATGACTTAAAGCATTATAATTAATAAAATGAATACAAATAAAAGCGATAATTTTGTCTTTCTACAAATATATATTGACTGTTTTCTGTCAGGTTCTGTTTTTAAGGTTTGTTTATGAAAACATAAGTTACATTATTATAAGGCCGAGGAAGAAGATAGAGAAGGGAGTAAGTGTATGTGTATGTGTCTGTGTGTAGAAGAATAAGAGATGGGGAATGTTTACCAAAAACATGGTAATTAGAAAATTAATTTGCAAGCAGATTATATTGAAATGAAACTTGAAAGATAAAGAATCATGCAGACAGAAGAGCTGCTGGCTTAAGGTAAAACAACTGAGTTATGATGATAAAGAACACAGAATTATTTCAAAATATAAAGGAAGCTAAGGTGGCAGGGGTGAAATAAAGTCAAAAAAAGTGGAAGGGGGTGAGGCTGAATGGATACATTTTTAGATTAAGGGAGTGGCGTTGAGATTTGGAGCTCAGGGAAGGACTTCAGATTTCACTATGTCAAGGAAAATCATTGATGAATTTGGGGCTAGGGCAAGGCCACTGTGTGGAGTCTATGTTTTTGAGGTGGGATGGCTCAAAACTGGGACTATGAAAGTTACGTTCATGGTTGAAACATGCTCACAACTTGGAACCAGATAGTAATTGCTTATCTGGAGAGAAATGGGCAGCTTCACATTCCATTGTAGCAGTAATAACAGGACTTGAAGAAGAATATGTTTAGACAAAAAGAAGACGTGAATTAAAGCTAACATTTTAATTTTTTTACTGAGCATTTAGATAGAAGGTTGATTGAAACGGTTCTGACAAGATCTCCTGAATCAGCTTCACTGAGTCCTGCGTGTCCAGCTCCAAAGGACCGCAGCTTCTCCTGAAAACCTCTCATAGCACTGGGTTGGGAGTTGGTGAGAGTCACTTAAGAGTTAGGGTTTGTCTTTGTGGGTCCCAGTACTCCCCACCTGTTCTAATTGTCCTTGTTCTTGCTATATTAGGCTTCCCTTTCCCAACAGCTGGTCTGGCAGACCTGTTGTGACTTTACGCACAATACCAGACACAAGACGATAGTCCTGCCTCGACTTCTCCATCAGCTCCACTAATCTCTGTTGTAAACCTCTCCTGCTTCATCATTTGTAGTTGTGCTGCTTCTCTGATCAAATTCTGATGGATACAGATGTTTCTGTTCATACAAAACAAATGAGAAAACATGATTACAGATAAGGCAGATTGGTGGGCATAATAAAACCAAAAGATGAATTTTATGTGTTTGCCCCCATTTTACCACTAAATTGTTAGGCAAGACCATAAGCTTGGTTTTAACAGAGGGTGGGGAGATGGGGCTTTCCAGAGCTGGGACCGGATTTACTAAAAAATGTACCAGGAGGTCTGATCACTGTCCAGTGAAATGTGTGGCAATTAACTTATAATGATATATTGGATTGTATCATTTTTTACTGAGAATTGTTAGTTAACTGACAAGTCATCAAGCAAAATCCCAGCTGAGTTTTGAATTTTAGCTTAGCAAATACTGAAGAGAGCTGAAATAATTAATATAAATGAGGCTATCAAATATTGGTACTTATTACACCTGATTTCTATTTTGAATTAATGTAAAATTTCCAAAGCATATTACAATCATATAATAACTAATTTTATAAATCATATTGTCTTAGCAAAGACTGTAATTGAGCAAGGAAATAGTAGATGATTGATTTCTGTAATTTTAATTTGCAAAAACCATTTGTACTGGAAGCAGAATCTATTGAGCTACCTAATGGCAAAACATTGTGATAGCAGAGTTTATGAAATTTTAGCTAGAAAACCAGCTATTTAAACTTTCATATGTAAGTGTGACAGCACAATGCAATAGCAAACTGAAAAACAAAATCCACGTGTGTTCCATATGTATTAATAGACATAATTAGTCTCCTCGGTGTTAACGGCTGTGTGGCAAGTAGTGCTAATATGCAGAATTACAATTTTAAAATACAGGGCAACATCTTTTATATTTATGCTTGTGATCATTCATTTTCTTGTAGTCCCTCCCCATTGCCTTTATAGACACTTCCTCTAGTGGACAAAAATATGATCACTCCAAATCCATTTACAATGTGCTTTTGGAGAATATATAATTTAAATAATTTCATTCTGCATTTGAAAATAATATTAATAATGCAAAGTTATTTATACAACAAAAGTCACTGAAATTCCCAAGGATCCCCTCTAACTCTTCAGTTATGTACTTATATGATTAAGGAACACATTTAGAGATAAGCACACAATTGTCTATTACTTTGAAAGTCACAGAATGGAGATAATGATCAATATGTAAATTTGTACCCATCAATCAAACACTAATCAGAGAGCTTTTGATATATAATTTCAAAGACATATACACATTTCTCTTTTAAGTACCTGCATTGGTCATGTTGAGCATATTTTTGCATTTTAAGAGTTAGATTGTTTCTTAAACACTTAATTTTTAAAGATTTTCTAGACAAAAAGTATAAAACAAGTTTTTTTGCACAAGTTTTTTTTGAGTATGATTAATGGCAATAGTAGAAAAAAACATTAGAGCTACTAGGATCAATTTTATAAAAACGACAAATACTTTAAATAAACTGAATGGGAAAAAAATACCAGAACTGTTATCAATGATTACTTGAGGCAATCAGTATTATTATGGACTTTTACTATTGATTTTTTCTTGGTTTTAAACTAAAAAAAATCAACTGTACAAGAAAACATAGCATATCGCAATAAGCATCTATATACTTGCAATCATGAATTTAAAGCATTTTATATATTTAATTTAGATGTTTTTATTGTCATTTGCTTTTTATGCAATAAGCATTTTTTTTCTATATATGACTACAGGTTCAGTGTGTTTATAGGAAATGTGACAAGTAAATGGAAATTTACATGGAATAAGAGATTATTAGACAAAGGACAAAGTACACATCTTTAATTTCAAAAAGAATAACTTGGGCCAAAGTGGAGTCATAGAGTATGGCATGTTTGTGGAATGGTGAAAAGTCAAGTTAATTAAGAGAATAAACCTTAGCTATTAAGGGGAGTGGCTCCGAGAGTTTGAGATCTGCCAGAATGTTGTGAGGTTTGGATTCCAAGAAGAGATTCCAAGCTAGGATTTTATCCTTAGGCAAGTAGAAAACAGAGAGGATTAAACTGAATGCTAATGTAATTGGAAAAGCTGGGTTGGTGGAACAGGAGTGCAGAGCAAACGCTGTCATGGATCACAAATGGATAGTTGCAGGTGAAACTAAGCCAACAATAGGCCAGTGTCATCTGAGATTTCACCGGAGGGAAAAAATTGTTTTCTAGATATTAAAATTACGCTTCCTTTTTTTTTTCAAGTGTTGTAGGAAATTAGAAATTTTTAATTTTTGACAAGCCGTTATTTTCAAAACTTCCATTTTTCTGTTTCTCAAAAATACAGCGACTTTATTTTTCCTTTACCAGGAGACATTCTGATTGCCCACAGTTATGTGTCCTTAAACAATTGCCAAAAACTTTTCAGACACAGTTTGACTCTGGAGTAATCTTAAATCTGTTTGATGGTCCTTTCTAAAGTGATTTAGTTTTTTTTCATTGTTAAGTTTTATTGGCTATGGATCAAAAAATCTTGCAAGTTTTCATTTTTCTAATGTGCTAAAGAAAAGGGTGCCAGGTTTTAGCTTCCATCCAGTTTATGCTCTTATTTAAATCTTGTATTCTAATGATTATTTTTATCTGACAAACATTTCTACTACCATGTAGTTTATCTTCATAACTAGATTCAGCTACTAGGTGTTTTTTTTTTTGTCTCATGCTTTTTCATTTTCTTGAATATCAAGACCATATTAATTGATAATTTCTATTGTTTTGAAGGAGAACCAATTGTAGGTAAAGTCAAAAAATGCCCAATTTGATGACAAGTAAAAAATTAAACTCCAACACACTGTATCAGCCACCAGTGTTCCTGACACCTTGGAGTTCAGTCAGACTTATTCACAAATCATCACAACATACCATTAAGTAAAAGAGAATCTATTTTCTGACTACAACTGTCACACCATGATAGAATGTAAATCTGACACTAGCCACTTTGAGGTAGCATTAGATTCCACAGGTTTAAGGGAATGGTCCTCAACAACACTGTCCCCACTCAAGTGCCATCCACCAAGTGGGGGATCCCTTGATTATTCACATTTTGGACCAACTGGGTACAAATCTAGGGGTTTTTCATAATGCCCCTCAAGTTGGATAATTCTCTAGAAGTACTCACAGAGCTTTCTTCACACAACACACTTGTCCTCACTACATACTGTACTCCATTTAAGAACTCGCATTCATATTCCACCCAATATTTATGTCTCCTTTGAAGATGACGTTTTCCTTGACCCTGGGTAGAATCCATCAACTCTGCGCTATTTTTCAACATAGTCACAAGGACTTCTATTAGGCATTTTTATTGTGTATGTTCCTTAATAAAGTCTTGCCTCCTTGAAAACAAGGCTTATATCATTTTTCACTCTTCATCCCCTGGGGACCAGCACTGTGTCTTTTACACACCTGCACAAACACACACACACCCCATATATACACACACATACACAAACACACACATACATAAATATCCTCACATATATTTGGGTATATATGCACATACTGACATACCTTCGTGTGTGTATATATATGCCACCATATGTCCATCTCAAGGTAAGATATATATACTATATATAGATATGTAAGATATATAACCATATATACATATATAGGTATATATATACACACACATACATACATATATATACACACACACATATATGTGTCTTGCCTTGTGATGGACATATGATGTGTATGTGTGTATATATACTTGTGCATATATATTGTGTGTGTGTGTGTGTGTGTGTGTATAGAGAGAGAGTAGGTGGTCTTGAATTTAAGGGGTTTTCTTTTTTCTTTTTCTTTTTTGTTTTTTTAGTAGAGACGGAGTTTCACCATGTTGGCTAGGCTGGTCTGAAACTCCTGACCTCAGGTGATCTGCCTGCCTCAGCTTCCGAAAGTGCTGGGATTACAGGTGTGAGCCACTGTGAATTTAAGGAGTTTTCTAATAAGTTATAAAGTCAAATTATGTCTTCTCTGTCTTGCTTTCTATTTTTCTAATAACTTCTGTTTCTCTTGCTATTGTCCACTCATGAAAAATGGAAGATAAGGGGTTGTTCCTCTTCTCAAATGTCTTGGATCACTTGCAATGCCTACAGATTATAAGCTTATTATCTACTGCCAAGAATAGCAATAACTAGTAGGTTCCAAACCCTGAGAGAGGCTTCATTGATTTTTGTGACTGTGGGAAAATAAAATACTCTGAAGATGATTACAATCTTGAAATACTTTATTACTCCTGAACTGATTCCCCTGTTTTCTCGCAACCCATTTTCACTTTACTTCAAAGCAATGAAGACCCAGAGAAAATTCATTAAGGGATTTGTGTCTGTTTCTTAATTTAATATAATGGCTTTATTACTATTGATGATGATATGCAAATATAGAAAGAAATATA
The DNA here is from genome assembly GCF_000001405.40 of Homo sapiens. NCBI lineage: Eukaryota > Metazoa > Chordata > Mammalia > Primates > Hominidae > Homo > Homo sapiens. The sequence continues at coordinate 83,500,658 of NC_000002.12, read as the reverse complement.
CCTAGTATTGGGCTTGAGTTCATATTGAATTCTTGCACTGAAGTTTTATAGAAATGTAATCAGTTATACAGAGGATTATATTTGCTCTTTTATATATTCTTCAATATATAATGCTAAAACAAACTTGAGTACCCAAGAAATATGGTCCCCTGACTAATTTTCAATGACTAATTAAGTGAATAGGAAAATTCTTAAGCTGATAAAAGTTAAGGAGCTTGCTAAAAATGTGTGGAAGCATTCTGAGAATGAAAGAGAGAGAGAGAGTGAAAGAGAGAGAGAGAGAGACATTATCCTCAGTTTGACAATTGCTTGACCCACAAGAGACATTAAAGAAACTTTAACCTGAGACCAAATGATGGCAACCTCAATGTGTTATTAGTCACCCATACGATGATGATCTGTGATGCTTATCACAATATGAGCATTTAGGTGATTATATTAAAGTGAATGCTGGGATATGGTTAGTGAGGCAGGGGTTATGATTTTTTATTTATGACAAACTTTCTTCTTTACATAAAGTTGAGTAGAAAATTTATGTGAGAAATTATCTTCAACAAAGAGAGTGCATGGCATCAGGTTTATTGTTTAAAAATGACAAGGAATCAGTTTTTTTGTTTTTTTTTTTTACTACTAGACTCTTAATAGACACCTGATTCTGTTGTAACATACCATTAATGGGTCTGTAAGAAATAGAACAGGGGATTATCTTTTCTTGAAGTAATTAAAGTACCAATGTAGGTAAGCCACAAGGGAGTCCTCTGTAATTAGATGGGTGATCTTATCAAGCTTGATAATGTATCTCTCAGAATAATTTTTCTTAATTAACCCATCATGGAATTTCAAGTCTTGACAAGATTCTACTAATAAAGGAAGCTCAACTATACTAATAAATTTTTAAAGACAGATGATTATATATATTTTATTGAAGTGGATTGCTGCATGAAATCTGTTAAATGAAAGAGGCAATGTGAGAAGAATATTGGATAAAGTCAGATATCCTAAACTTTTCTGTCATTTCTTTTAAAGAATATAATTACTAAAGAGAATGAAATTGTCAACACATAATTTTAAGTAGACAAAGATTTCATATGAAATTCCAAAATTAATAGCACAGTGATATTCAACAAATATTGTAGTTCATACTGAAGCATTAAAATTAATGCATCTAAGCAAGTATCATTTGTTATTTCTCAAATTTAGTCTTTCTTCGTGAAGAACAATCACATATTGATTTTCTAGATAATACATCTTGTTTTTAAAAACACCTTAGTTTCCAGAAAAATTGAGCAAAGTATAGAGTTCCAATATGCCTTGCCTTTCTCCCACACAGTTTATTCAATTATTAACATCTTGCTTTAGTATTGTTCATTCGTTGCAACTGACAGACTGATATTAACACATTATTATTAACTACAGTCTGTAGTTTACATTTGGGTTCACTCTGTGTTGTACAGTTCCCTGGGTTTTGACAAAAGTATACTGTCATTTACATACCATTATAGTATCATGTAGAATAGTTTGACTGCCCTAAAAATATCCTGTGCTTCACTTCTTTATCTCTACCCCACTCCTCAAACCACTGGATACTACTGAACTTTTTACTGTCTCCAGAGTTTCGTCTTTTCTTGTAGTTTTTGTCACAGATTTGTAATCATGGAGTCTGTAGCCTTTCAAACTCGTTTATTTCACTTAGCAATATCAATTTGTTTCCTTAATGTCTTTTGTGATTTGATAGCTCATTTCTTTTTACTGCAGAATGTTATATGGATTGCCCATTCACCTACTGGAGGACATCTAGGTTGCTTCAAATTTGGGAAGTAACATATAAAGCTGTTAAAACATTTGTGTACAGGTTTTTGTGTGGACATAATCTTCAGCCTTTTGTTAAATACCTAGGAGCGCACTTGCTGGACAGTATGCTGAGACTGTATTTAGCTTTCTAATGGACTGGCAAACAGTCTTCCAAAGTGGCTGTACCACTTTTCATTCTCACCATTAGCAAATAAGAGGACATTTAGCTCTACATCATCACCAGAATTTGGTGTTCTCAGAGTTTTGGATTTGGGCCATTGTAATATGTGTATAGTGGTATCTCATTATTGTTTTAATTTGAAATTTAATAAAATACGATGTTGAACATATTTTATATGTTTATTTGTTATTTTAAGTCATTTTTAATGACTATCATATCCATTTTAAATCAGGTTGTTTGTTTTCCTATTAACGAGTTTTAAGAGTTCTTTTTATTATGCAAATGTTTTATCCCTCTCTAGGGCTTGTTTTTTATTTTATTATTTTTTTTCTTTGCTGTTGTTTTTTTCAGGGCAGAAGTTTTTAATTTAAGTAAATATCAGCTTTTTTTTTTTTTTTTACTTTCATAAAACATGCTTTTGGTATCATATGTAAAAACTCAATACCAAACAAATCATCACCTACATTTTCTTCTATACAGATGGTCCCTGATTTAAGAGAGTTTAACTTTCTGTTTTTCACTTTGAGTAAAGTATTCAATAAATTACATGATTTGTCAACATTTTATTATAAAATAAATTTTCTGCTAGATAATATTGCCCAAATATAGGCTAATGTAATTGTTCTGAGCATGTTTAAAGTAGTCTAGGCTAAGCTGTAATGTTCAGTAAATTAGGTGTATTAGATGTATTTTTGGCTTACAATATTTTCAGCTTATGATGACATACAATTCCATTGTATGTCAAGAAGCATCTGTAATTTATAGATTCAATGCCATCCCCATCAAGCAACCAATGACTTTCTTCACAGAATTGGAAAAAACTACTTTAAAGTTCATATGGAACCAAAAAAGAGCCCACATTGCCAAGTCAATCCTAAGCCAAAAGAACAGAGCTAGAGGCATCACGCTACCTGACTTCAAACTATACTACAAGGCGACAGTAATCAAACAGCATGGTACTGGTACCAAAACAGAGATATAGACAAATGGAACAGAACAGAGCCCTCAGAAATAATACGACACATCTACAACTATCTGATCTTTGACAAACCTGACAAACCTGACAAAAACAAGAAATGGGGAAAGGATTCCCTATTCAACAAATGGTGCTGGGAAAACTGGTTACCCATATGCAGAAAGCTGAAACTGGATCCCTTCCTTACATCTTATACAAAAATTAATTCAAGATGGATTAAAGACTTAAATATGTTAGACCTAAAACCATAAAAACCCTAGAAGAAAACCTAGGCAATACCATTCAGGACATAGGCATGAGCAAGGACTTCATGTCTAAAACACCAAAAGCAATGGCAACAAAAGCCAAAATTGACAAATGGGATCTAATTAAACTAAAGAGCTTCTGCACAGCAAAAGAAACTACCATCAGAGTGAACAGGCAACCTACAGAATGGGAGAAAATTTTTGCAATCTGCTCATCTGACAAAGGGATAATATCCAGAATCTACAAAGAACTCAAACAAATTTACAAGAAAAAAACAACCCCATCAAAAAGTGGGTGAAGGATATGAACAGACACTTCTCAAAAGAAGACATTTATGCAGCCAACAGACACATGAAAAAATGCTCATCATCACTGGCCATCAGAGAAATGCAAATCAAAACCACAATGAGATACCATCTCACACCAGTTAGAATGGTGATCATTAAAAAGTCAGGAAACAACAGGTGCTGGAGAGGATGTGGAGAAATAGGAACACTTTTACACTATTGGTGGGACTGTAAACTAGTTCAACCATTGTGGAAGTCAGTGTGGCGATTCCTCAGATATCTAGAACTAGAAATACCATTTGACCCAGCCATCCCATTACTGGGGATATACCTAAAGGATTATAAATCATGCTGCTATAAAGACACATATGCACACGTATGTTTATTGCGGCACTATTCACAATAGCAAAGACTTGGATCCAACCCAAATGTCCAGCAATGGTAGACTGGATTAAGAAAATGTGGCACATATACACCATGGAATACTATGCAGCTGTAAAAAATGATGAGCTCATGTCCTTTGTAGGGACATGGATGAAGCTGGAAACCATCATTCTCTACAAACTATCCCAAGAACAAAAAACCAAACACCGCATATTCTCACTCATAGGTGGGAATTGAACAATGAGAACACTTGGACACAGGAGGGGGAATAACACACACCAGGGCCTGTTTTAGGGTGTGGAGAGGTGGGAGGGATAGCATTAGGAGATATACCTAACGTAAATGATGAGTTTAATGGGTGCAGCACACCAACATAGCACATGTATACATATGTAACAAACCTGCCTGTTGTGCACATGTACCGTAGAACTTAAAGTATAATCTATATATATATAATATATATATATAAAAGAAGCATCTGTATTATCTTGCAAAAGTCTTAAAATTTATTTTACATTTAGCTTTAAGATCTATTTTGATTTAATTTTTTAATATTTTACTTTTTAAGAAAAAACACATAATAATTGCATAAAAACATAAGTATGCAGTTTAATGAATTACTATAATAGGAACACTGTATAATCACCAATCAAGGTCAAGAAGTAGAATATTGGTAGGGCTCAGAAGCACCCCTACCTCCATGCCCATCCCCATCCACAGCTTCCTTTCTCTTCTTAAGCGTAGTCCCTTCCTGACATTTATGGGTAATGTGTAGTCACTTTTTTGTTGTTTATTCTCTATTTTTTTATTTTTATTTTTATTTTTTGGAGTTAGGGGACCTAAATTCTATATATATATAATATATATATAAAATATATATATAATATATATATAAAATATATATATAATATATATATAAAATATATATATAATATATATATAAAATATATATATAATATATATATAAAATATATATATAATATATATATAAAATATATATATAATATATATATAAAATATATATATAATATATATATAAAATATATATATAATATATATAAAATATATATATAATATATATAAAATATATATATAATATATATATAAAATATATATATAATATATATATAAAATATATATATAATATATATATAAAATATATATATAATATATATATAAAATATATATATATAATATATATAAAATATATATATATATTTTCAAATTATACTTTAGGTTCTAGGGTACTTGTGCACAACGTGCAGGTTTGTTACATATGTATACATGTGCCATGTTGGTGTGCTGCACCCATTAACTCATCATTTACATTAGGTATATCTCCTAATGCTATCCCTCCCTCCTCCTCCCACCCTACAACAGGTTCCGGCATGTGATGTTCCCCTTCCTGTGTCCAAGTGTTCTCATTGTTCAATTCCCACCTATGAGTGAGAACATGCGGTGTTTGGTTTTTTGTCCTTGCTATAGTTTGCTGAGAATGATGGTTTCCAGCTTCATCCATGTCCCTACAAAGGGCATGAACTCATTATGTTTTATGGTTGCATAGTATTCCATGGTGTAATTGTGCCAAAAGGAATACAAATCATGCTGCTATAAAGACACATGCACATGTATTTTTATTGCAGCACTACTCACAATTAGCAAAGACTTGGAACCAACCCAAATGTCCAACAATGATAGACTGGATTAAGAAAATGTGGCACATATACACCATGATTTAATTTTTAGGACATAAGTTCTGTGCCAAAATTTATTTTTTTGGTACTTGGATATGTGATTGTTGCAGCACCATTTACTGAAAAGACTTCTTTCTTCATTTAATTGCCTTTGCTTTGTGTCAAAGATCAATTGACTGTATTTTTGTTGGTCTATTCCTGGGCATCAATTTGGTTCCACTGAATTATTTGTATATTCTTTCACCAATACCAGACTGTCTTGATTACTATAGATTTACTTGTAATCCATAGTAATAGGTTAAAGTTGGGTAGTGTCAGTTTTTCAACTTTGTTCTTCTTCAGAATTCAGTTGGCTATTCTGAGTCTTTTTACTAATCTTCATAATTATTAGCATTAGCTTTCAATATCCACAAAATAATTTGCTTGGATTTTGATTGGTATTATATTGAATCTATAGATCAAGTGGAAAATAAAGGTTATCTTAACAATATCTATTCATAACCATGGGATATCTGTTTATTTAGATCTTATTTGATTTATATCATTGGGTTTCTGTAGCTTATCTCATATAGATCTTTTATATACTTTGCTACGCTTAAACCTAATGATATAATTTCTTTGGTGTTAATATAAATAATATTGTGTTTTCAATTTGTATTTCCAAGTATTCATTCCTGGTATATAAGAAAGCGATTGATTTTTCTATATCACCCTTTTATCCTCAAACCTTGCTGTACTTGTACATTTCTTCCAGTACTTTTAATTTTTATGCTCTTGCTGTTGATTCTACATTTTCTATGTTGACAATCATATCATCTATGAATGACAGAGTTTTTTACTTCCCTCTCAATCTGTGTACCTTTTCTTTACTTTCCACATCTTATTGCTTTAGCCGTGACTCTCAGTACAATGTTGAATAGGAATGAAGAAGAGACACTCTTGTGTTGTTGCTAATCTTAGATTGAAAGCATTTAGTTAGTCGCCATTAGGTATAAGTTGGTGTTAAGTTTTTGCTGATGTTCTTTTGTAAGTTGAGGCTATTCCTCTTTATTCCTAAGTTGCTTAGAGTTTTTAAGATGAATGGATGTTGGAGTTTGTCAGATGTTTTTTCTCCATCTATTAATATGATTATATGGTTTTTCTTCTTTAGTCTTTTGATGTAATGGATCATGTTAATTTATTTTCAAATGTTGAATCAGCTTTGCATATATGAAATAAATTGCACTTGTTCATAATGTAATTCTCTTTTTACATTTTCAGATTTAATTTGCTAATAATTTGTACAGGAGTTTTGCATCTGTGTTCATGAAAGATAATGGTCTTTCATTTTCCTTTTCTGTAATTTCTTTGGCTTTGGGATTAGGATAACATTGGTCTCATAGAATGAGTTAGGAAGCAGTCTTCTCCTTATAGTTTTTGAAATAGATTGTAATGAATTGGTGTTATTTCTTTCTTAAGTGTTTGGTAAAATTCCCCAGTGAAACCATCTGAACCTGGTACTGTCTGTTGTGGGAGGTGATCAATTATTAATTCAATTTCTTAGATGTAGATAGGCTTAGTCAGATTACCTATCTACATTGTATGAGTTTTGTAATTTTTTTCTTTCAAGTTGTTTGATTTCATGTGTGTTTTCAATTTGTGAGAATAAAGTTGTTCATAATATTCATTTATTATCCTTTAATGCCTATGGGTTCAGTATGATAACCCCTTCCTTTTTTTGATCTTGGTAATTTGTATCTTTTTTATTTTCATGTTTAGCATGGCTAGAGGTTTATCAATTTTATTGACGCTTTCAAAGAGCTAGCTTTTGGTTTCATTGATTTTCTGTGGTTTTTTTTCTGTTTTCAATTTAATTGATTTCTGCTCAAATTTTTATGTATTTTTCTGCTAGATTTAAGCTTATACTGCCTTTCTTTTTCTAGCTTCCTAGTCTGGAAGTTTACATGATTGATTTTATGTTTTCTAGTTTAACATACAAATTCCATGTGATACATTTGCCCCTAAAAACACTGCTACTGCTGCATACCACAGATTTTGATAAATTCTTTTTTAATTTTCATTTATTTCAAAATACTTTTAAAAATTTTTCTTGAGACTTCTTATTTGACCTATATATTATGTACATGTTTGTGGCTTAATCTCCACATATGCTTTATTTGTTATTTTTAAGCTACCTTTTTGTTACTGATTTCTATTTTATTTACTGTTTTATGAGAGCAAACTTTGTATAATTTCTTATACATTTCTTAAAGAATGTTTAATTGTCAGAATGTGGCCTATTTTAGTAAATGTTATTTGTAAGCTTCAGAATAATGTGTATTATGCTATTGTTGGATGAACAATTTTATAAATGTCAATTAAATAGTTTTGACTGATGGTGCTCCTTAGTTCAAGTAATTTTTATTCATTTTCTTTTTGATTTATATGTCAGTCACCAAAAGAGATGTGATGAAATCACCAACTAAAATAATTTGTCTGTGTATTTCTTTGGACGCCTGTAAGGTTTTCCCTCCTGTATTTGATGTATTGTAGTTAGATGCGTGCATATTTAGAATTGTTACATTTTCTTTGATAATTAACTGCCTTTTTGCTATGCATTGTCCCTTTTGGCCATGCTAATTTTTCTTGTTCTAAAGTCTGCTTGGACTGGAATTAATACAGCTACTATTTCAACTTTATTTTGATTTGTGTTAGCATGGTATATAATTCTAAATATCCACATATTAATCTATCTGTTTCCTTATATTTAATGTGAGTTTCTTATAGACACCATATAACTAGGTCTTGGTTGATTTTATTGACTTGATTAGTATTTTTATGATAAATCTTGAAATTAGGTAGCATGAACTTTCCAACTTAATTTTTGTTGTTTGAAATTAATTGTGATTATTACAGATCATTATCTTTATGTATACATTTTAGAATGAGCCTGCCAGTTTCTACAAAATAAATTACTAAATTGCATCTGGGACTGCAGTGAATCTATATGTCATTTTGAAAGGAATTAGAAAACTCAACAATATGAATTCTTCTATACATAAACACAGTATATCTCTCCATGTATTTTGGTCTTTTATTTACCCCATTAATTTTTTTTTTTTGAGACGGAGTCTCACTCTGTCACCCAGGGTGGAGTGCTGTGGTGCGATCTCGGCTCACTGCAAGCTCTGCCTCCCAGGTTCCTGCCATTGTCCTGCCTCAGCCTCCTGAGTAGATGGGACTACAGGTGCCTGCCACCACGCCCAGCTAATTTTTTTGTATTTTTTAGTAGAGACGGGGTTTCACTGTGTTAGCCAGGATAGTCTCGATCTCCTGACCTCAGCCTCCCAAAGTACTGGGATTACAGGCATGAGCCACCACGCCCGGCCCCCATTAATTTTTTTAAGTTTTCAGGCTATTAATCTTGTATGCATTTTGTTAAATTAATATGTAAATGCTGTATGTTTTTCAACACTATTGCAAAAACTAGCCTTACATTTACATTTTCAATTAATAATTAAAATGGAATTAAAATTTATCTTTGTACTTTGAGCTTGTATCTTGCTTCCATTTTAAACATATTAATTTGTTCTAATATTTTATTATATGTTTGAGATTTTCTACATAGAATATAGTATCGTCAAGGATTCTTCTTTTCTTTCTTTAATTTCTTTTATTTTTGTAATTGTCCTTTTTATCCTTTTATCCTTTGTACTGGATACTCCAGTACAAAGTTAAATATGAGTAGCTGGAATGAATATTATTAGCTTTCTCGCATATTTAAGTGGAAGGTATCTGGTATTTTATTATTAAGCATTATGCTATTTTGAGGCATAGCATAGATGCCCTTTGTCAGATGGAAATTTCCTTTAATGCAGATGTTGGCAAACTAAAACCTGCAAGCCAAATCTGATTCATGTATTGTGTGTATATGATCTGCAAGCTATATTTCTAAAGGTCTTTTATTTTTTAAGGAGAAGAAGATAATCTGCAAGAGACAGCTGTAACCCATAAAGCCTTAAGTATTGATAATCTAGCGCTTTACAGGGAAAAAGATGCTTATTCTTGCTTTAATTTCTAATTTTTATTATTTATTATGAATATATGTTAATGTTATCAAACTATTTCCCTGCCTATATGGAGATGATTATATGATTATATATATGAATATATAGATATAAATATCAAGGATTCATTTGTAGATATGGAGTCAATCTCATATCCTTGGGATAAACCTTCCTTGGTTATGATTTATAATACTTTCTATATTTAATGAACTCAATTTGGTATTGTTTTGCAGATGATGTTTTTGTGTATATTCATGAGGGATATTGGTCCACAATTTTCTTATAACGTCAGTGTCTGGTTTTGAGATCAGAGAAACTAACTTTATGAAATGAGTTGGGAATTGTTGTCTTCAGTTTTGTGTAGAATTGATATTTATTTTTACTTAGATATTGGGAAGAATGTACTTTTTAAGCTACATGGGCTTGCCATTTTCTTATTGAAAGAATTTAATTACAAATTAAATTTCTTTCATAAACTATTTCCCTTATCTCTATCTTGAGGGAGGTTTGTTAGTTCTTATCTTTGAAGGATTTGCAGATTTTAATATATATTCTTGACTTTATTGTCATAAATCTATTCATAGTATTCCTTTTCTTTCTTTAAATGCCAGAAATATCTGTGGTATTATCTTCCATCTTATTCATAATATTACGAATTTGGTGTTGTCTGTTATTCTACATCAATATAGACAGGAATTTATCCAATTATTTGGTCTTTTTAATTAACCAGATTTTATTTACATTGATTTCTTTTATGGACACTCTTTTTTAATTTCCTTTCTTCTATTTTTTCTTTTTTTTCTCTTTTTTATTTTATTATTATTATACTTTAAGTTTTAGGATGCATGTGCACAACGTGCAGGTTTGTTACATATGTATACATGTGCCATGTTGGTGTGCTGCACCCATTAACTCGTCATTTAGCATTAGGTATATCTCCTAATGCTATCCCTCCCCCTCCCCCAACCCCAGAAGAGTCCCCGGTGTGTGATGTTCCCCTTCCTGTGTCCATGTGTTCTCATTATTCAATTCCCACCTGTGAGCGAGAACATGCGGTGTTTGGTTTTTTGTCCTTGCGATAGTTTGCTGAGAATGATGGTTTCCAGTTTCATCCATGTCCCTACAAAGGACATGAACTCATCATTTTTTATGGCTGCATAGTATTCCATGGTGTATATGTGTCACATTTTCTTAATCCAGTCTATCGTTGTTGGACATTTAGGTTGGTTCCAAGTCTTTGCTATTGTGAATAGTGCTGCAATAAACATACATGTGCATATGTGTCTTTATAGCAGCATGATTTATAATCCTTTGAGTATATCCCCAGTAATGGGATGGCTGGGTCAAATGGTATTTCTAGTTCTAGATATCTGAGGAATCGCCACACTGACTTCTACAATGGTTGAACTAGGTTACAGTCCCACCAATAGTGTAAAAATGTTCTTATTTCTCCACATCCTCTCCAGCACCTGTTGTTTCCTGACTTTTTAATGATCGCCATTCTAACTGGTGTGAGATGGTATCTCATTGTGGTTTTGATTTGCATTTCTCTGATGGCCAGTGATGATAAGCATTTTTTCATGTGTTTTTTGGCTGCATAAATGTCTTCTTTTGAGAAGTGTCTGTTCATATCCTTCACCCACTTTTTGATGGGGTTGTTTGTTTTTTTCTTGTAAATTTGTTTGAGTTCTTTGTAGATTCTGTATATTAGCCCTTTGTCAGATGAGTAGATTGCAAAAATTTTCTCGCATTCTGTAGGTTGCCTGTTCACTCTGATGGTAGTTTCTTTTGCTGTGCAGAAGCTCTTTAGTTTAATTAGATCCCATTTGTCAATTTTGGCTTTTGTTGCCATTGCTTTTGGTGTTTTAGACATGAAGCTCTTGCCCATGCCTATGTCCTGAATGGTATTGCCTAGGTTTTCTTCTAGGGTTTTTATGGTTTTAGGTCTAACATATTGAAGTCTTTAATCCCCATCTTGAATTAATTTTTGTATAAGTTGTAAGGAAGGGATCCAGTTTCAGCTTTCTGCATATGGCTAGCCAGTTTTCCCAGCACCATTTATTCAATAGGGAATCCTTTCCCCATTGCTTGTTTTTGTCAGGTTTGTCAAAGATCAGATAGTTGTAGATATGCAGCATTATTTCTGAGGGCTCTGTTCTGTTCCATTTGTCTATATCTCTGTTTTGGTACCAGTACCATGCTGTTTTGGTTACTGTAGCCTTGTAGTATAGTTGGAAGTCAGGTAGTGTGATGCCTCCAGCTTTGTTCTTTTGGCTTAGGATTGACTTGGCGATGCGGGCTCTTTTTTGGTTCCATATGAACTTTAAAGTAGTTTTTTCCAATTCTGTGAAGAAAGTCATTGGTAGCTTGATGGGGATGGCATTGAATCTAGAAATTACCTTGGGCAGTATGGCCATTTTCACGATATTGATTCTTAATGTTCTTCCATTTGTTTGTATCCTCTTTTATTTCATCGAGCAGTGGTTTGTAGTTCTCCTTGAAGAGGTCCTTCATGTCCCTTGTAAGTTGGATTCCTAGGTATTTTATTCTCTTTGAAGCAATTGTGAATGGGAGTTCACTCATGATTTGGCTCTCTGTTTGTCTGTTATTGGTGTATAAGAATGCTTGTGGTTTTTGCACATTGATTTTGTATCCTGAGACTTTGCTGAAGTTGCTTATCAGCTTAAGGAGATTTGGAGCTGAGACGATGGGTTTTTCTAGATATACAATCATGTCATCTGCAAACAGGGACAATTTGACTTCCTCTTTTCCTAATTGAATACCCTTTATTTCCTTCTCCTGCCTGATTGCCCTGGCCAGAACCTTCCAACACTATGTTGAATAGGAGTGGTGAGAGAGGGCATCCCTGTCTTGTGCCCGTTTTCAAAGGGAATGCTTCCAGTTTTTGTCCATTCAGTATGATATTGGCTGTGGGTTTGTCATAGGTAGCTCTTATTATTTTGAGATACGTCCCATCAATACCTAATTTATTGAGAGTTTTTAGCATGAAGGTTGTTGAATTTTGTCAAAGGCCTTTTCTGCATCTATTGAGATAATCATGTGGTTTTTGTCTTTGGTTCTGTTTATATGCTGGATTACATTTATTGATTTGTGTATGTTGAACCGGCCTTGGTGAAAGCTTAAATTATTGTTTTAATATCTTTCTTTTTGTTGTAATATTAGCTTTAATGCTGATAAAACAATTGCTTATAAACTACTCATGAGACAGGAGTAGTCTCAAAAAGGTCCCCTTTACCTAGACATCAATCAGTAGTTGTTTTTAATGGACACCTAGGTTCACTCCCCTTCTGTTGTTGTCTTTCCAGTATCAATTTCCTCTATCTCTAGTATCAGGCCCACTGATTTTCCCATGGAGAACTGTCCTCCCATTGTGCTCAGTGTTTGTGAGACAATGAACCAAGGCATGCTTCCTCTAGCCAAGGGCATGGCACATTTATTTTGTAGTTTATTCACCAATCCCTATTAAACTGATACTATGTTTTAGACACTGATACAGCCGCTGGAGATCCAGTAGTAAACCCACCACTAATGATTCTTCCCTCATTGCACTTAAATTTTAATGTGGAATTCACACACTAAGTAGATAAGTCGTTTATTATATTGTAACCTAACCTCAGATGAAGAAGTCTTAAGATTCCAGTTAGGACATTTGGACTTATTGTCTAAGTAATATGAATGTTGAGTAAGAAAACAAGGACAGAAATCACTGTAGCTGGCTGGACTTAGGGACTCTTTATTCCTTCGCTCTATGTAATCAGAAATACTTTGATTTTTCTGCAGTGTGATGGCTGAATTTTTCTCTTGTGTCTCTGATTTTATGGACACCTTGTATCCTCCATATCAATTAATTTTTGCTAACATTATCTAGGGTTAGTTTCTTTCCATTGTATCCAAGAATTCTAATCAACATGGTGTTAAAAATACTTCTGAGTGCAATAGACTAATGAAATGTTGGAGGATGAGATGCTTTTCAAATTCTCCCTTGCTGTTTCAAGTGTAAAATTAGTGTGTAGGCTTAACACCTCTTCCCAGATACTCAATTCAATCAGTTAGAGATATATTTTGGTAAATCATATATCAAATATAATTTACCAAGGACTCTATTTTAATGTCTGAATGTAGCTTATACATACCATGATTAGGGTCATCACCACTTTATATGATAATCATTATTTTGTGCAATCATCTAACCTTAGGTTTTCATCCCTTTGAATGTACATACCATGAATTATTCATCTTCATGCCGGTTTCTCTAGAACTGTATTCTATAAAGGATAGATCCTCAGTAAAGATTTTTTTGTAATGAACAAAAATGATGGCATTCCATTAACACAATTTTCCAGGTTTCTACATTAAAATAAGAATACTTTCTCTCCCATATGTTCATTTAACGCTAGAGCTCTAACTTTTTGTGCATATTAAAATGTTGCATATCCTTCTGCCTTTAACCCAAATCAAAATGCAGTAGTCTTGAGATTTAACTAAGTATGTGTGTGTGTGTGTTTATTTCAATGTTAGTATCTAAGAATATTCAGATTATTTAGATGACTACCAACTTATATTCAGTAACTCTACACTCTTTCAGAATCAGCATTTTTCTTTGACTTTACAATTGTTCTGGCACCCAAAATATGACTTTAATTGTCTTAGGGTAATGAGAAAAGAAGCAAACTTAGTAAGTAAAAGATGACTTTGTGCCAAGTGAAAGCCAATTGATTCACAGCATGCTTTACAAATAAAGTTTCCACAGTCCTTTGAGTAGAGAAATGTGGTGGGAAATTAAGTCCTCAAAGGGCACAGAAAAGTAGATAAGTGCTGACTCAAAAGAATCTGTACCATGGCAGTCAATCGCCTATTCCTATGGCAAGTGGCAATTTAGCTTAGAAATACCCTCAACTGACACTTTTAATAAATGTTGTTAATTTAAATTTTATTGGTTTTGTAGTTTTTCTTTTATTTAATATATACATATATTTTAGTTTTGTGGTTATATAAAAGTTATAACAATAGGAGTTTATACTTTGGTTTATATTTGTACAGATTTAAGTAACGTTATAATCAAAATAATTTAATTCAACATTGAGAGATTGAGACTTCTTTTCCCTTTTAATATGGCTTTATGTATTAATTAAAATTAAAGAAACAGTGTCCTAGACCAACATATTTATTTCTAAAGCCAAATGTTTTAATAGAATAAAAAAGCAGGGTTTTAACTCTGAAAGACCTGATACATTTCCTGCTAGAGATTGCTGGGCAAGAGTGTAGCTGAAAGTTTCTGTCTACCATGTTTTATGTAATTATATTATTGTAATTTTTTTATTTCTATTTCATCTCTCAGCTAATATTCTAAATAAAAATATAACTTCAGTCACATTACTTTAAAGTTTTGTGACTTATTTGCCATATTATTATTAATACTTCTTATAAAATTTACTACTTTTTTAACCTTAACTATGAAATATTAAAATTTTTGATGCTTTCAAATAATGGAAAAAATACTTATAAAAAACTGCATTCTGGAGAAGAAAAATTGTGTCTGGATCTCTTCTATAGTACTTATTAATTTCTACCACCTTCCATAGCACAGGCTCCGGCCTGTAAAATAGTTTTGTATATTCTGTTAACTAGGCCTACCTGGCCTTTATCAATTTCAGGAATAGTAATATGACAAAATAGGGAGCCTGAAGGGAGCTATCTTATTCTATGGGACAAAGGAACTTGGAAAGCAAGTTTTTTCAGGACCAAATAATTTTGAATACATTACAGATCTACTACACAGATAGTCCTGTAGCTTAGCATATATAATTAAAGCATAAATTAAAAATTAAAAATGAAATTAAAACTATTGCTATGATTTCTGGAGAGCATTAGGTTGTAAAGGTGATAAAAGGTAATGAGGACATCATTGCCAGTGGCAGCCGAGGCAGAGATTACACAGGTACTAACCGGCATTGGCAGTGCTGTTGGTGCCAGTGATGGTGCTGACCACAGCAAGAACACTGGGGGTGAGTTCAGTTGTTACTGTGGCACGATTGTCCATGTTAGCAATAATGTCAGCTGTGCTAGTAAAAGCACTGGTTTGTATTCAAAAGTCATGTTCCTGCCAGAAGCATTGGTAGAGGTGCTATGGATGACAGCATCAACATTAGCCTCTTCAGCATCTTTGGCTGTGGCCATTAATATCAGCTTCTAGGCGTTCATGGCATTTTTTTTAAAATTGCCTATCTCGGTATCAAATAATTGGGAGAGACAAAGGCAATGAATGTATTTATAGCATTTTTTCTTTCACAGAATCCTTCTCTTTTGTCCTTTTGAAATCTCAGTCTAAGTCTCTCTGCTTTTCTTTTTCTTTGTGAATTCATCTCAGTGTCAGATGATTGCAAGCATGGACACACACCATTGAAAGTCAGTAGGGAATTCATCATATGATGCTATTATTAGCTATGTTTAAAGCAGCACTTAAACAGTGCGTGTTTCTCTATTTTGCATTTGCCAAAAAAGCCAAAATTAGAGAAGTATATGAGAAAGTAAGTAACAAATGTTGGGTGAAAGAGGCTTGGGTTTTAGTGCACACTGGGACAGAAATTCTGGAAAGCAATTTGGCTACACTTAGTGAAATTAAAGATGTTAAGACATATACCCAGGGATCTCACATGTATTTCCACATAGATCATTAAGAAGCTGTCCATGTGACATTGATTGTGGAAGTACAGAGGAGAGGGCAGCCTATGTTTCCATTATGAGGGGGCAATGGCTAGAAGATGAGCTGATGTGTTTCATGGAATGCTCTAGAGCACATAGAAGCCAGGAACTAGATACATTTTCAGATCAGAAAATAAATCATATTGTGTGTAAGAAGTAAAGAAGGAACAAAGGAATAATCAAATATATTAGAATGGGTGTTTATCAGGTGGGAGTCCTATGGGACTGGGCAGGAGAATATACATAAAATAAAATAAACCCAGAATATATCTCGCATGTTCAGGTTATTATAATATTTTATAAATTAATAAGTATTATTAACTCATTTCTCTAGATGGGAGATTAAGTATATATATTATATATTTATATATAATATATGTTAATTATTATATATACTTATTTTTATAAGTATATATATTTATTTTATATATATATATACACTTTTTTTTTCTGAGACAGAATTTCATTCAGTCACCCAGGCTGGAGTGCCGTGGCGTGATCTCAGCTCACTGCAATCTCTACCTCCTGGGTTCAAGCGATTCTTTTGCCTCAGCCTCCCAAGTAGCTGGGATTACAGGCACACGCCACCATGACAGGCTAATTTTTTTGTATTTTTTAGCAGAAACAGGGTTTCACCATGTTGGCCAGGCTGTTCTTGAACTCCTGACCTTAGGCGATCCACCCTCCTGGGCCTCCCAAAGTGCTGAGATTACAGGAGTGAGCCAGTGCACCTGGCCGGAAGATTAAATATTTTTAAATGAAAAATTTATGTAAACTTCTTTCTACTTTGTGCATTTATTTAATTTACTACACAGAGAAAGTAAAATGTCAAGAAAGAATACCTACCAGGAAAGGAAAATAACAATTCCACAGATAATATAAAAGTGACTTTAAAAAAAAAGAAATTTAGGTGTATGATCTACATCAGAAATATTTTAGCTCTCTCATGAGTTTAGTTGCTGGCAGAAAATTGTTGGGCAGCCAAGCAAGAAATTACAATGGGCAAGGAATTGTTTTCTGAGTGTTATTTTAGAGTAACCTCTTTTAAAATATTTAAGTTTTCTTTGACTTATTGTTGATACAAATTGATTTTATTATCACAAATAAAAGCCCAAAACTTGTGTTTAAACAAGAGAAGAAAGATGAAGAGGAAATGAATGAAAGTTGCAACAAGCGCTGAACAAATAGATGTGTCCCCTTCTGGATAATTATAATAGTTTGATTAGATTTAACATGAATCAAAACAGAAAAGAAATTCTCTCTTTATAATTTTTAGTGACTTCATTCTTCTGAAAGGTTCAGAAATTACAATTTCTTTAACTCAAGAATAGCAAGACATTGTATTGTGTTCCTAAGCTTAACGCATAGCAGCAAGAATGGGATGTGTGTGTGTGTGTGTGTGTGTGTGTGTGTGTGTGTTTGTGTGTACTGAACGACAGATGAAAATGAGGGGAGAAATGAAGGTGAAATGTTTAATTTTTCCAGTCCATTATCATCATCATCATTATTATGCTGGGGAGAAAAAAGATTATTAGGTATGTCAGTATGTGAGTATACTTCGTTCTGAGCAGTTTGAGAAATTTGCCTATTTTTTTTCCTTCTCCACACAAAATATGACCCAGACATGACCAAGGAAACACTGACGTTATGTCTATTAGCAGTCATCTTATAACCATGAGAGAAACCATGGGTAGCACCAAGACACAGAGAAAAGCTGCAAAGATATGGAACCAGTGACTTGAAACCTAGTGTACCCCTTCATTTCCAATTATGTAAATGCAAATATAAGCTTTATTACTGTTAAACATGTTTAAATTGAACTTTTGTTACTTTAAGTCATGGCAACCAACTTAATACAAAACAAAAACCAATTTAATACTAACATAAAATGCTGTTAGTATTTAAGAACAAAGTTAAATACTCTTTTTTATTTTAGAACATTAGTGGAAATAAGAAAGGAAGAGTTTGAAATCTTATATATCTGTTGCTTACTGAGCATGTGTTACATGAATGTACCAGATGAATGATAATCAAGACTCCCAAACTTTACCATAACCTCTCAATGTATAAATATGATAGTGTTAAAGGAACTAGAGTGCACTTAACACAAGATCAACCATCTAGGCACAGGGAAAGGGTTTTTGAAATAAGAACACTTAATAGACAGAATAAAAAACACTTAATAGAAAAGAAGAGGCAAAAGAGAAAAAGTCATAGATGAGGAAGGGGAGACAAGTTGGATTGGTAAGCTAAGACATTTTTTTAAAGGAATTAAGTTAATCATTAGTATATCATGGGTGTTTTGTTTGTTTGTTTCCAGAGTAGCTTCAGAAGTGGAGACAATGAATGAAAAATTGTGCAGTGGAAATAAATGATAAAATACAGCAACATTTTAATAAGGGGGGAGGTTATAACATAAAAAGGAGTATCAGGCTTTAGAATGACTTAAATATATATCAAATCTAGC
Organism: Homo sapiens; assembly: GCF_000001405.40. NCBI lineage: Eukaryota > Metazoa > Chordata > Mammalia > Primates > Hominidae > Homo > Homo sapiens. The sequence goes on along the minus strand of NC_000002.12, from coordinate 83,481,863 downwards.
TCAAAGAGTTAGGGCAGGAGTAGAGACTGAATATCTAAGAAAACATTAAGAAATGAAGCACTATAATACACATCTGAGTATTTAATTTCAGAAGACAGAGTTAGCACTAGCTCTTTTGGCATAAAGAAACTAAACCCAAATATTCACTTGGAGTAATGGAGAAACCACTTATGTCTGAAATTGTAAAAACAATTCCCAGAAACTCCCTGTAAAACTAGCCAGATATGAGAGCAGCTGCTTCCAAGCATTCCCAAACCATAGCAGATCTATCATGCCCAAAAATGTGCTGATGTAAAACTCAGACCACCCTCTACCAGTCTCCAAACTAAGCTTCCTCTGCCTCCACATATACCATGCAAATGATTGTCATGTCACAGGTCAGCATTCCAGTTGCAAGAGAGAGTGTGTGAGTGTGTTGGGAAAGCAGATTGACAATGTTGGGCATTTTCAAAATGTAGAGAGAGATTCAGGAAACTGTGGGCAGCCACAAATGATAGATATCATAAAAATCCTAGAGGAAGTAGAAAGAGATGGCAGGCAAAGCACAGCAGAATTTAAAGCAAAGATGTTATAGTAGAATTGATGACATACCTAGATAATTCTTCATAATCCTAATGAGCATTTAATTTGTTGTTTCTAATTCATTGGTGATCATTTTGACATACATCACAAATTTCAAGTTCTTTAATGTACAAATTGTTACTGGTTTTTGACATATTAACTGTCTAAGCTTTTTGGCTTTCCAAGGACCTCACAATCAGGAATTAAAAGAGCATAGTGGTTAGGGTCATCCTCTGCAGCCCTTTTTGAGGATGTGTAGCAGCAATAAGGTTAGGGACCAAGAAACCAGCTCTTAAGGGGCATCCTAATTTGATTGAGTTAACCAGTGTAGTCTCTCATCTAAATTATTAGTTGCTTTACCCAATAAATATATACAGTTCATCCTCTCTGTACATGGTTTGTATACATACAAGTTTACATTACTATGATTTTGTGAAATAACACCAATCCCCCAACACATGGCTCAAATTTTAGTTACCATGGTATATTAATTATGAATAATTGCGAAAAACACAAACTTTAATGCTAGCTCTTAAGTGCACAAATGACAGTGTAAATGACACATGTATATCGTGATCATTCACCAGTCACATCCATTAGTAGTCACCACACATATGTTTTTCAATTCATGCAAAGTATGTATTTCTGTTAACTTCTTGTCTTTCAGTGAGAAACCCACATGACATTTTACAAAATGTTGGTGGGTAATAAAAAGGATTTGCCAACAAAAATAACAGTCAGCAAAGAAACAAAAAGTGATAACGTTAGAGGTAAAATTCAAATTGAACATAAATGGGGTTAAAAAAAATTATCTCGGGAATGCCGGCACAGCTGCCAGTGGAAAGATTCTAGAAATGCAGCCAAAGAAGCCCAGTGAAGGTAAAGTTATCAATGTAAATAAAGAAAGTGTTAGTGACAGGCAGGATGAAGCCATCACAGATGAAATGATACAACCAAAAATTTCTCATTAAGGAAACTCTCAAAATTAAAAGTGTGAAGGATAAAATGATGGAAGCTGATCCAAACATAGCAAGTAATATGACAACTCGTAATATGACAACTCATCAAGACATAGCAAAACTACTCTCCTCATCTTAAGTGACACTACAGAAACTTGGAATGCAAGAAGAATGCAACCACTCTTTACACTACTCAATACACTTTTTTTTACAAAGAAAGAAAATATTTTAATAAGCAATGTTTCTAATGTTTTAAATTATGGCTTACTAAATATTAGTTTTACTAAATTTTGAATCCCCTATACATTTATAGCTAATAGTAGAGGGTTTTAAATATTTTGACAAAAACTTTTAAAGGTCATCGAACAATCATAATTGCTTTGCATGACTTTGGTTGACATAGACAACTTTACAATCCCACTTAATAAAAGTGAGGACTCCCTGCAACTGACATGCCCCCTAAACAGAAATAGAGTCACCATTTATCAAGATTATAGAAGAGGTAGAAGAAATAATGAGAGGTAAATTCAACAGCAGCAACGTTGCATAGCTGGATCTAAGTCAAGTTAAAAGGAATAGGGAACAGATTCACTAATTCTACACAGGAAGAAGATGGAATACAGAGGGGGAATGTATTTGTGCATGTTGAAGGGAGAATTTTAAGTGTCTTTGGAGAGTTAACAATATAATGACAGTCTATGTATTTCTTTATCTATCCATTTATCTATCAATTATCTATTTATCTACCTATCTATCTAATCTATTTACCTTTCTATCATCTATCTACAGTAGGTAAAATAAAAAGGTGAAAATAAGTAAGCTCCTGTATGCAGACAGATCACCAAGAAATGTATTAAAAAATAAGATCAGAGCGAATGGAAGTCCAGAAAGAAATTGACTGAAAAAGAAATGTCACCTTAGCATGTCAGTGATTCAGCAACTGTCAGAAGAAACTGCAAGGAGAGACCTCTTCTAGGTAGCGATTTCCAAGCTGACAAGGATATAACAAACCTGGAAGCATATTGGAGTAAATGAGTCCCCAGTTGGTTAAGAAATAATTACAATCAGAACATCTCAAAAAGTGTGTATAAATTTTCTACTATAGAGAATGTTAAATTAGGAAAAGGAACAACCTTGATATTGTGCACTTGATTTCTTGAGCCTGCCAAATCTGCAATACCCATTATCCTTAAAAGCATCCACTCTGAATGTGATATTTTTCTTCCTTCCTTTACTTTTTTGTGTGAAAATATTATTTTGATAAATATCACTGTTCTTGAATGAAAAATGAGAAAATTGAGGGTTTTCACAACTGGATCAGAAAATGCAGAAATCAATTTACTTCAAGCAAGGCACTGAGAAAGAATGGGATTCTATGTCCACAGTAAAAGTTACACAAGTAAGGCAGGGCAAGACAGAGACCATGAAATGCTATTATACATTCTTTGTTGACATGAGTTGCCTTCTGCCTTCTACAGAAATAAAAGTCTTACTTTACTCTTTTTTTTTTTTACTAGTCCTATTTTAAGATGCCCTAGCAGTAAATGAGGTCAAAATTGGTGGCAAAGTTGAGGTTTTACTTTGAAGATTTTTATTATTGAGAAATGGTGTCAGTTTTGAGTTGATTATACTGAGTTATTGTTTAGAAAACCATTATAATCTAACAAATCATTATTCGGTATTTATCATATTCAAATAATATTTTGCCACCTTATAATGAAAGCAATAAAATAATGACACATATTCACATCACCTTCAGAGGTACTTATACTAAGGGGGTATTTACAGCCATTAGAAATATTATGAGGCATCTCATAGGCAAAAATTAAATAAGATAGTGAGATAACTTGCCTGAGATTTCAGGTAAGGCAAACAGAGTTTCTCTTTTAATCATATCCTTTGTTTTGGAAATGAAGCCTTAGTCATTTGAGTAGATGTATAGACCCTATAGCTTAGGCAAAAAAATAAGAGGGTACCTGTGTGTGTGTGTGTGCGTGTGTGTGTGTGTGTGTGTGTGTGTGTAAGAGAAAGAGAAAGCGAGAGACAGAGACAGAGAAAAATGCAGGGACTGACCAGACCTTCAACTTCGTTAAACAGTCATGAAAAATCGATAAACAGTTTGCATATTTCAAAACCCAACCTGAAGAAAGAAGTCTAAACTCTAGCTCTTGTTTCAATGAGCATTCATTGATTCTGGGTTAATTTATTGCAAGTAATTCCTTAGCCAAGACATGATGCCAAGGAAATCCAATACAGTATGTTTCTCTTAACAGATATCATTAACTGATTTCCCTGGAAGTTAAAATATAAGAATAGGCTACTTGCCTTCCCTTCTTTACCTGGGGGCATTTCCCACCCCCACCCTGAATAAAGGGAGTGTATCACTGGTCAGTTGCTTGAACTTATTTTCCCCAATCATCATCTCCTTCCTAAGATCTATCATTCACATAATTGTTTAAGAAACCTGGGGCATACCTAGTCCAAAGAAACGGGCAAGGCTGTTTCCAAATGCTGAACTAAGATACTTGGGAAATCTAAACAATGGGCTCCAAAATCAGATTCTGTGCTTTAGCCATATTTATATATGTGCAAATGTTATAAAAAGAGATAAAACAGATATCTAAATCACATATGTCCTCCAAATAGCTCAAATAAACAATGCTAATAAAAGTAAGAATTAATGAGATAAAGGAAAATATGACATGAGAGGTATGAAGTGGTGGCAAGAAGAGAGAGCTACATCTTATTCCAGAAATAATCTGATTGATAACATCTGGGCCCATGAATGCTAACTAGGCCATCCGTACACAGTGTATGTTGAGTCCAAGACCAACTGTGGCAATGGAAGGACAGCATTCGAATCTATGGCAAATTAGCATGTTGAATGTGATAATTTTTGAATTGTGAAATAAATTATATAGAAAATGAGTTAAACATATGTATGCACTTATTAAAAGTAATAATTGTATGCCCAATGTCTTTTCAAAAGTGTTCTCGTTGGCATCTCAGAAGTCCATCCTAGGTGGGGTGCCTATAATCCCAGCACTTTGGGAGGCTGAGATGGGTGGATCCTTTGAGGTCATGAGTTCAAGACCAGCCTGGCCAACATGGTGAAATCCTGCCTGTACTAAAAATACAGAAACTAGCCGGGCGTGGTGGTGGACACCTGTAGTCCCAGCTCCTCAGGGGGCTGAGCAGGAGAATCACTTGAACCCAGGAGGCAGAGGTTGTAGTGAGCCGAGATTGTGCCACTGCACTCCAGCCTGGGCGAAAGAGCGAGACTCCATCTAAAAAAAAAAAAAAGAGGTCCATCCTTTCCAATCCTCCCACCTGCTCCTTCCTAATGACAACCATTATGCTGACTTTCAAGTTATTGTGCTCTCACTGTCTCTCTCTTATTTTTTGCCTTTATGTGTTTTTTTTGTATTTTTACAATTGTACTCCCAACTCTGTTTGCTAAACAGAACAGGATGTAACCTTATCCATCTCAGTAAGTTTATTGCTTTTTAAATACCATATGATATTGGTGGTCTCTTTTTAAAAGGGAATAAAAAATGAAGCATAGCACTCGCCATCTTATAAAGATTTAGATAAGTAGACCATTAGGCCCAATTCGAATAGGTTTTCTACTCTTGGTTGATGTAATAACCAAGTTCTGTGATTGACAAATCAATAGGCTCCTTCAAATCAGAAGTAGGGCTGATAAGAATTTGCAATCTTAATATTTCTTTGAGCATTATTTGTGTTTACCGTCCTGTTCCCACTCTTCTTTACCAGGTCACTCCACTTACTACCTTACCTAGGCATTCAGTGCCTAATGGAGTGCCTGGATGTCCAGCGTCACCATTATTTTGCTTCTGCTGTTCCTAGGAAATACTGATTATGTAGGCATATGTATCTTTTCCTTCCAGAAAAATTAGCATTACTCTGCACCTTTTAGAGAAGTAATATCCTATAAAGAGGTAATGTGCTATCATTGTCACAAATATGGTGTATTTCCAAAGGGGGCAAGATGATATACAAAAACCTAAAGAAATAAATTAATAAAGTTAAAATTTGGCATCATTTGCCCATCAAATATTAAAATCATGTTTGGAAACCATTGGGAACATTTTGGTGGAATTAATCCAATTTCACTAGGTAGGTAATCATTAATATTTTCAGTCTTTCTCCCAGTACATGGACAAGCTAAGACCCAAGATAGTTATTGTGTGGACGTGTGTGGGGCAGGCTGCTTTTGGGTATCTCATTAGTACTTTTTAGAATTCTAGGGGAGAGAGCAGTACTAAACTGTGAAATTCAGAGAATTAAAGAAATTTCCATGCAAAGCAAAAGTAGTTTAGACATATAAGAGCTACTACATTAGATATGCATTAAGCAATACTGAAGCTTGTTTATATGATTGCTAGGAAAACCAAACCAAACCAAAACAATTAGCAAGCATAAATTCAGGAACTAAAAAATTGGTTTCAGAGATCTTCACTAATATATTATTCAGCCATAAAAAGAAATGAAGTACTGATGCATGCACCAAGTTGGGTGAAGCTCAAAAATCTTACGTTAAGTGAAATAAGCCAGACATATAAAGTGATATATTTTACCATTCCATTTATGTAAAATATCCAGATCAGATAAACACATAGAATCAGAAAGCATATTGGTGGTTTCCAGAGGATGGGGACTGGGGAGTGGGTAGCGATTCTATTGGGTATGTGAGTGTTTTTTTTTTTAGGGTGATTAAATGTCAAAACTTGATAGAGGTGATGATTGCACAACATTGTTCAACATCTCTATTAAAAATGTTAGATATTTATCAACACATATACTTAAAAACATACACACACGCTCATTAGATTTTCCACATTAGTGCATGGCTTTCTCCCATATACCTGCTGCTCCTCTTCTTGCATCCCATCTATATTATTGGATTTTTCTATCATGTGTTCATCCCATAGGACTTGGGATAGTTCTTTCCTGAGGCTCTCTTCTACTCTAAGACTGTAGCATATTGTAATTTAGGTCCAAAGATGACATATGACCAGTGTGGAATAATAGGACTTGGCTTAACCTTTCTTCAATTTTCTCACTGTCTGTCCAATTGCTTCATTCCTTTCTGGACCTCTACGTTGTAAACCATTTGGTTAGCTTGAGTCCTCACCTAGATCACTGCTATCACCTCCAACATGGAGTCCTTAACGCTAATTTCTACCTGCATTCATTTTATTGCTTCTTATTTTATTTCAATTTTTAAAAATTGAGCTAAAAAATACACAAACAAAACTATAGTGAATGGTTGGATACCTACTGTCCAGAATTAGATTGTTTTATTGTTCACGCATCAGTTTTATGAAGAAATAAAGATTGTTAAGGTTGAATTCCTTTTTATAAATCTCTCCTATGCTTTTTCCATTCCTCTATACACAGAAAACATATATGGATATTTTGCATATAGTTTTAATCTATATGATTAAATCTATAATTTATGTCTATAATTTACATCTATAATTTAAATGTAATTTAAATCTATAATAGATGATTAATATGTATGATTATCCATGTAATACATATATGTAACATTATAAAAATAGTATGGTCTTGGAAATTGAGAAGTAATAACAGTTAAAATACTATATGTATGACTCTGCAACTTGGTATTTTACTTGTAAATGTATTTTTAAAATTTATCAATGTATTTTAAGTTCACTGATTTTAACTGTTCTAAGATCTTCTGCAATGTGAATTATCACAATGTATTTTTATTTTTTCTTAGAAACAGAACTTTAGATTTTTTATTGTTATAAACAATAGTGAAATTAACAATCTTACATATGTAAACAAGGGTAACACAAATAAATATTTACCTAGATATATAATTGAAAGATGATGGAGTAAAATATAAACACAGCTTTATAGATTTGGAAAAGTTTTTCGCAAACGTGTATGTCTGGTTCTGGTCTCGGTGTCATCATGTACTTGTTTTCTGTTTGTCTTTTCCACAAGATTCTATGTTCTCTACATCTTTATGTATTTCTGAAATAAACCATATTTGTGATGCTTTTTAATGTACTTATAGGTAAAGTTAATATTTTACATATAATTTTGCACATATGCCTTTGCATTTGTGAGATTAGCCTTTATTTAACTTTTCTTTCACTGTCTCATTTCTTCTCATTTCCAAGTGAGCGATGTAGGCCTCCCGGGTTCAAGTGATTCTCCTGCCTCAGCGTCCCGAGTAGCTGGGACAGCAGGCATGCACCACCATGCCTGGCTAATTTTTTTTTTTTTTTTTTTTTGTATTTTTTAGTAGACGCAGAGTTTCATCATGTTGGCCGGGATGGTCTCGATCTCTTGACCTCATGATCTGCCCGCCTCGGCCTCCCAAAGTGCTGGGATTACAGGTGTGAGCCACTGTGCCCAGCCTTACTATCTCATTTCTATTTTGCTATAACAATTAGAGTAGTCTTAGAGTGAGTTGGGTGGTGTTACTTCTTTTAAAATTTCTCTGAATTGTATAAGGTTGCTATTTATCCATTACATAAAGTCTTTATATAACTTGACTCTAAGACTTTCTGGATCTCATATCTATTTTGAAGGAAGAGTTTTATAAAATGTATAAACTTTAGTAGTTTAGGATAATTCAGAGTTTCCATTTCTTCTTATATCAAGTGTTTTTTAATCATAGTTTTCCTTTATATTTAGGATTTTAAAACTTTTTGGCTCCATTTTATGTTAATTTATTAATACCTTAATTCTTGGGCTATAGCTTACAAAGTTTATTGCTGACTTATTTTTATGGTGTTGGACACACATGAGTACGTTGCGGTTTTTCTCTGATATTTATTTGTTTATTTACTTACACAAACAGCCTCCATCAGAAGTCCCATGGAGACCCTGGGTTGTAGAGTTAACCAAAGGGATATTGACATGGTAGTACTCAGTTTCTGACTTTTCTGGGCTCTATGGTATTCATTGTTACGGGAGCAGTTTATACTTTACTGTTTAATAACAATCTGTAAGAATTTCTGGTTTAGTTTGGGGTACACAATTTTTTGTGTTATATACTAAGAATAAATTCTTGACTTGATGTCCCACTCTGCCCCATCCTATACCCCATTGTCCCATGTGACTCCAACATGCTGCCATACACATTTTTAAAGTAAACCTAAATTTTTCGCATCCTAGCTTTTTTTTTTTTTTTGAGACGGAGTCTCGCTCTGTCGCCCAGGCTGGAGTGCAGTGGCGCAATCTCGGCTCACTGCAAGCTCCGCCTCCCAGGTTCGTGCCATTCTCCTGCCTCAGCCTCCGGAGTAGCTGGGACTACAGGCGCCTGCCACCAACCCCGTCTCTACTAAAAATACAAAAATAAATAAATAAATAAATAAATAAAAATTAGCCGGGCACATCCTAGCTTTATACAGGGTGTCAAGTTCCAAGCTTTCATCTACAGCCTTTACTCATGTCCCACGAGGTCACCGACACGCCCACTTTTAAGTTACGGATTTTAAAAAATATTTATGCCACCTGGAGATACCCATTCCTTGTTTTTATGGTTGACTGGGTCTTTCTAATTTATTTATTTATCTGTCCATTTACCTATTGACAAGTAGCATACCATCAAGTAGGAAAGACTAGATAGGACTCCCAACATCAAGGCAGTCTGCCATCACTTTTTAACGTTTCCAAACATATCCTGATTTATTTCACTTTTATTCAGTGTTCGACTTGCAACTGGTGTATCATTAAATATGACAATGTTCCCAATCCTGTTCCAACCCACTTGTCCAGCCTCCTTTTCTGCCCATGTTACCTCATTTTACAAGTGCCTTGTACCCTCGTCATAAAAATTGCTCACTGAGCATTACATTAAATACTTGCACATACCCTTCTCTCACTTTGGAGTGACTTCTTCCATGATTCATATATGACTTACATTTTAATATGCACTTTTAATGTCTTATCATTCGCAAAACCATAACTGATTTAATTATGTAGTGTTACTTCGTGTGGTATCTTGCTCATGTGTAATTTATAGCAGTAATTTATTTCAGATTAATATTTGCTCGTCTATGTGTTTCCCTTAGTAACTTTATTTTCTTTGAAAAAATGGCAGTATGTTAGTTTCATCTACTTATGTATATATTGCCCAGGACACATGCTAAATATTTTAGAAATAAATGAAAAATAACAATTTGATTAAATTGCTTTCCAGTACATTTTTTATCAAGATCCCTGCTTTTCTTTCATTAGCCATCTCTTTATCACTTTCTTAATCAGGCTTTACACCTGAAACCTAATTCATTCGGTGTTCAAGTTATTTCCTATCCAATAGATTCAAGGTTATTTTTGCATGTTGGTTTTTAATCTCCCAGCTCAGCATTACAAGTCAACCATAGCTTATAGCCTGCTCAAATTTATTGTCTTGGATTCACTCCAAAAAGTGGTAATGATTAGCACTCCATCCAGTGAAAGTCAATATCTCTACTCTGAACTTTTGAGAAATTGTCAGTAAAAAAAGAGAAATGTACATACTCTAATTGTAAAGTGAGAATACTGGAGTTGGTCCAAAAGCCATTTATTTTCTATTTGGGAGGCAATGGTCAGTCATAATGTAGGACAAAGTGCATGTTGTTATATTTGCATATGGGCCACTTTGTTATTTTTACTATTCCCTGATATATGAACAAAGAAATACTCCTGCTCACAGTATTTTATAAACTCGCTTTGATGCAGAGGACTTCCTCCCAAAGCCAACTTGTCTTACACTGCCCATTTCTAATAATGTGAAGTGCACTATTGCCAAAAGTCACGACATGCTGGCACATTTTCAGATAATTCTGTATGCTCTGGCTTAGATAAATATGTATTTTGGCCCATGTAGAAATAATTGTTTTCTATCTTCTATTTCAATACAATTCGCTCACAGGGGCAACATTGATCAGATGCTCAGGACCATTCGGTGGGATGTAGCAGAGATGACTAGCTGAATGTCTGTCTTACATAATAGTTGAGGCCCTTTTCAGGAAAGGGAAATGGAAAGAAAATAAAGAACAATAGCAACAACATGAACAACCCAAACTCAAGTTTAAAGTGTTTGCTTTGTAAAAGGCAATGTGCTAGGAACTTTCCATACAAGATTATATTTATACCTCATCATAACTGTTTAAAGCAGCTATTCTAATTCCTCCTTTAATTGTGAAACAAATTAAGTCTCACAGTAGGTAAATAGTGTTTCCCTGGCAACAGCAGATACATGAATCTAGAGTTGCTAGATTTCAAAAACTGTTCTTCCTATGGGATATAATTCCTTTTCAAATGTAAGTTTCTACCCTTCTAAGATTTTTTTTAGCATTCAGAATGGATCCTAAGACATTTTTGAGGGTTGTGAAAACCCTCAATATATTTTTATGTTATTATCAAAAAAATCAATGTTATAAATTGCAAGTTTACTATTTCCACTTAAAAAGCTAATCAAAGCATATACATTAACTGATGGTAGGTTTAGAATACAACCGTTAAAGAAGAAGATGCTCTCCTTTAAGGAGACTTACGACTTTTCAATGAAAAATATGTAAGATTTTATGGCAATCATTATTTAGATAAACTTCCTCTGTATCTTCCACAATAGTGCACACATTATTAAATTACTCTTGACAATGACTTTGTAAATTCATTGTGAACAACAACTTTAATTGGCCCCATTGATTGAAATACTTGTACGTCCTCATCTTTTACTGCTTAAAAGTTTTTAAGGAAAACTATCAAACTATTACAGTTAGAACCCTGAAATAAAATTCGGGCCAAATAATTTTTTGTATTATGTGTTCAAATATTTGGATGTTCAAATGACAATGAAATGAACAGATAAGTCGGCTTTGGACATATGTTCCATGCTAACTGCTGCAGAGTCCAACTGAGTGATCTGCATCTCCCTTGTCCCTGTCTTACATATGTTTCCATTAAACTAAAATCCCAGGTTGCATATAACCTATTACTCATGCCCCTGTTGATTTCTTGAATCATAAAGCTGTATAACATTTGGAAGCCTTAATTAGATGCTCTTGCTTACTGAAAGAACAGTTTTAATTTTAAAATAAGAAGCTGAAAAGGAAATAAAAACACCTATACCAGAATGAACAGACTGGGGAATTTGTTCTTTATGTGTATAAAAATGGAAGAAAGAAAAGAAAAACTTTACAGTAAAATTTAGTCAACCGATCAACAAATATTTGTTAACCATCTCTTGCTAGGTTGGCAGTTTCTACTTTTTACAATGACTTTATCTATAAATTTATTCTGAACTATAGACTCAGTTAATTCTATTAATTTCAGTTCTTTCTTTTGTATCCTAATCTATCACTGCTTAAAGCATTAAAGATAACTATCAAAAGCTGTCAGGTTTGGAGCACTGAAAGTAAGTTTAGCACCAGTAATATTTTCAATGTGTTCAAACATTTGGATACAAATGAAGAATATAAAATTGTATAACCACTAATCTAAAAAGTGGCCATTATATAGTGAGTGTGTGTGTCTTTGCCTTTCTTCCCTAATATCAATTGCAGGCATTTAACCAGCAGATAATCACATTATGAAAAAATATATTTAAAGAAAATAGTATAAAATCTTCAATGATAAGATTCCAATAGTTGGATTGGATGGTCTTTAAGATTCTTCCAATTCTAAAGCTAAATGCTTTGTCAGATTCTGAGAGTTCTTCTCCTAATCTACAATGAAAACCATGTAAAATAATTGTATTAAGTAAGTGCAGTTGAACAATCCATTTACCTTTTAAACATTTGTTGTCAACTTAAATAAACAGATTTAATCTGTCCATGCATGTTATAGTTATAGAAATAAATGAGCAGAGGACCATCCTGTGAAGTGTAGTTGGAAGGTCTTGGGAATGGATATACATTGCTTTTAAATACATTGCATTTATTTCTATTTTTTAAAATAAATTCTATTTTATATATCTGAGGGTTACAACATGATGTGATGGGTGGGATACTCTATTTTTAACATGTTTTTTCTCTCTATCACAAAACCTCTAAAGATAGTCAAAAAATACCTGTGATGCATTTGAAGTTCCCTCTGCCCCTCATGCTAACATACTCCAGGATGGATTCTTCAAATCATTAATGACATATTAGAGCCAATATTAGAGTCACTATAGAACCAGATTTTGAGAGAAGTGAAGAAATTGTAAAATTACCCTTTATTTATTCTCTTCCCTTCTGTCTCTGAGGCCTACAATAATAAGCTTAGAGATGTCTTTTAATTGTCTTTCTTTTCTCAGCACTAGACAGCTGGGAAGGGGGAAAGCCTGAGCCAGGGAAAGGGAGTGAGAACCTGATTAGTGTTACCTCTGGACTGAAAATAACCAACTAAAATAACGAAAAGAAGATTCTTTGTTTCTTTTCTCCCAAGATCATATCACCAGAATACAATTTAGGAAGGATTTTAGAAAAGGAGAGGATTCAAGTATCATGAATGTGCTTTTGATTGAAGCTACCCTGCATCGTGTCTCTCAGTAATTTATTCAGAAGAAGAATAAGTAGAAAATGGTAAAGAGTAATGGTTGATGACAGTACTCCCTTGTCACAAGATGTCTCTTACGCTGTGAACGAGGGTCTCCCGGAGAAGACCACATACGAGTTATGACTTGAAAGGAGTCAGGAAGGGAACCACATGAGTATTTTTTCAGGCAAAAAGAATGTCAAGAACATATTTCCCAGTGCAGAGTTACATTTGGTGTTTCAAAGAGTGAAAAGCAGGCCAGTGTGGCCAGAGAGAAGGACCCCTGGGAGGGAGGGATAGAGAACAAGGTAAAGGAGCTAGTCTGAAGCCAGAACACAAAAGATAACAAAGACTATTAAGGCTTCGTTTTTACCTCTGAGGGAGGTTGGGAGCCATTAGAGTGACAGGGTTTTAAGTTTTAGACAGTTACTTTTATTCCCATATAGAAAATAGATGGTGGGGTAAAGAGCACAACCGAGGAGACTATTTAGGAGAACAAACATAACAGGCTGGAATAAAGAAGAGTGATAGAGAGGAAGGGCTCAGATTCTGGATTTATACTAGAGCAGCATTGGCAGGATGCTCTCAAAGGGTTTGATATGTGCCACAAATAACCAGGTGAGTGCCATTGGATTTGTTGGGCTGAAGAAGACAAGAAATAGCTGTATTTTTTTTATTATTCTTACCATTTTTTAAAGGCTTGGATATGGGAAATAGAATTCAACAGTTTGGATATAAACATGTTTGAGGTATTTATTAATGCTACTCTAGAAGACTGGTCAAATGTGAATCCAAAATTTTATGTAACCTTTGTGCATAGTATTTATCAATGAAGCTGGATGAGATCTCATGGGAAGTGAGCATAGAATCAAGAACTGAGTCCGGATACTCCAGCAGTTAGAGAGGTCCGGCATGTGAGGAAGAAGGAGCAAAGAGGACTGAAGAAGAATATTCGGACATCTTTGACTGAAAAGAATGATGAGGGGAGAGGGAAAAATGGAGGATAGGTGATGGATGATCGAGGACAGCTAACTAGATAGATAATAACTAGATAGACAAACATACATAGATATGTAGGTAGGTAGATCTTTGGTGTTCAAATAAAAACCACATTTAAATAAAAAATGAGAAAAGAATTGGTCATATGCAGTTAAATAAGTTCAATAAGGTGAAAACTGAAAAAAAAATTATTGGATTTGCAATTTAGAAGTCATTGGTAAAATTGATAAGAGCATTCAGAAGTGTTAGCCATAGGAATTCAACTAGATGGGAAGAATAAGAAATGAACATGAGGGTATCAATGAATCCTTCACATAATTTTGTAGTAAACTGGAGTAAATTAATGCATGATGATTCACTACAATCTACAGAGACATTAAAGTGTGTTTACATGGAGTTGGATGGAAAATGTTTGATGTCTCTTTCCTGCACTAGACTCTAAACTTCCTGAAGGCAGGGATATTATTAGTGCTCACCACTAGCACGTTTGAGATCTAGAGTGCCTGACTCATGTGAATTTCACAATACGTATTTGTTGAATGAAAGAAGACTGTGCTGGATTTGATTCTGACCAGGTAACGTTTTTCCTCCGGTTCCTGTTGGCATGGCATAAACGGCTCGACCTGACACTCCACGTAAGAACCTAAGCAGGTTTCTGCATGTGGCATTCATTAGTCTGACTTAAGACATGTTCGAAAAAAAAGATAAAGAACAGTGAAACAATTAAAGAACTGAATCCTTCCACTGAATCCCACCGCAACCTGGACCTTCTGGCACATTTTGACAGAAATACAAACCTTGGGGACTGTCTATTCCATTTCCTCATTATGTTATTAGAATATACAGTAATTGTGATTGTAAACAGCAGTTGGTAAACAATTTTAAGGCTGAGCCTGAGGGAACTAAAAGAGAAGAGCAAAGAAATAAAATCAAATTAGAAAGTCCAGAGCTGCACATTAACATTCAGAGAGATTAAACGTTTTCTTTGCTGTTAGAAAAAAAAAAAAATGTCTGGCCTGTGCTCATCCTATGGTCCTGAATTTGGATAGAAGGGAAATCTGCATTCCAAATTGAAGATCATCAGTTTTGCAATATGTTACTAATAAAAAATAAACCAAACCAAACCACTTCTTCTAAATCTATTGTGTAATATTTCCATATGGAACTGAAGAAAATGGCACTTTATTTAAATGGTCCTGTAAAGAAGGATCTGAGTGCACAAACTCCTACACTGAAGAGCCCAGGATGTGAGTTATCTTTGAAAATGTAAACGTATCTAACAAATTTATGTTTCCTATACTGCACTTCTAGGCAGCATTATCAGTATGCAGCTTTATATTTAGGGAGTACTAGATTCTATAAGACTGTATTCTCAGTGCATTATCTTACTTGATTGCCGTACTTATCATTTGAATAGAGAATTCAGCAAAGAAAATAACAAATAATAAGAATAATAAAAGAATACTCATTGCTAAGCCATCGGAATAAGGCCAAGGGAATGAAATTGAGCTTCCAAGAGTTGAGAAAGTCTAGTGAGGTTTTGTATGCCACTGAAACTTTTAATATTAACATAATTGAATTGCCAAATACTTTTCTGAGTTAGAAAGGAGCAATATAAAAATTGTTTTTTTTCCTGCTATGTGCATTATTTAAAACAAAATATGGTTGTTTCAGACTGACTTCATTTAAGGTCATAAATATATCCTTAAAGATCAGTATTGTGAACTCAAAATATCAGAGATAGGTGTTAGTCAATTTAGAAATTTTATTTTGCCGTGATTAAGAACGTGCCCAAGACACAGCCTCAGAAGTTCCTGAGGACGTGTGCCCAAGGTGGTAGGTGCACAACTTGCTTTTACACATTTTAGGCAGACATGAGACATCAATCAGTACATGTCAAATTTACATTAGTTTGATCTGAAAGGGTGGGACAACTCGGGGGGTGGGGGTGGGTATCTTCCAGGTCATAGATAGATTTAAACATATTCTGATTGGCAATTGGTTGAAAGAGTTGTTATCAGTAGAAAGGAATGTCTGAGTTAAGAAAAGGGGTTTTGGAGACCAAGATTTTATCTTGCAGCTGAAGCCTCCAAATAGAAGGTTTCAGAAAAAATAGACTGTAAATGTTTCTTATTAGACTTAAGGTCTGTGTTGATATTTATCCTGGAAAGGTATAAGGAAGCATGTCAGATCTCCATTTTCCATCATGGCCTGAACCAGTCTTTCTGGTTAAATTTTTGAGTTCCCTGGCCCAGGAGGGAGTCCATTCAGATGGTTGTGGGGGGGCCTTCCAATTTTATTTTTGGTTTACAGTGTCTACACAAACTCTTGGAACTCATCATATGTCATATAATGGGTTTTTACTAGTTTGGAGAAACAGAATATCATTCACATTTTATTCAAAATTTTCATATGTAGAAAGTGCTCCTAGCAATCTAGTTGACTTTCTCATTTTACAAATAAGAAATCTGTGCCCACAGAAGGGAAGTGACTGTGCAAAACCATAGAAATTATGAGAGAACCACAGCTCATTCATTCCATGTTAAGTTCTAGAAGTATTCCAACTGCACTAGAATACTTAATGCATCGTGTGACATTTCTCCTTGGTATCTACCTTAAGAATAAGGGACAAAACAATTTTCCCCGTTTTAACTTGGACACTGTTGAGCTTACATAAGCTATTTAAATATAAAAGTATATTTTTGATGAGCTCCTTAAGTATATAGCCATCGCTTTAAAAGAAGATTTTCTTTCACTTTGTTCCTGAATATTCCTTATGTCAGCTCCTTGTTTTTTTCATAGAAAATCCTTAGGACTCGATGATATTGGCTCTTTATACAATTCTGTCTAAGCATCTGGGCTAGCAGAAAGAGTGTGTCTTTCTCCCAGTTATTTTTTACCAGGTTGTAAACTAAGTTTCTGATTATAACTTCTCATTAAGAATGGCTTTCCACCTATTTCCCCTTCAGTATTGTGGAAATAAGCAAAGACCACCTAAATGAATGAGTACAGACAGAAACTATTTAATCAGAGTTTGCTTCAGTAAAAAAGTAAGCCAACATCACTTACCTTTAACAGAGGCTCAAAGGCAGGCAGCAGAGTGACAAAGCTTTATGGAGAATAGAAGTCCCAGCTCACCCAGGATTTAGTATTTGAGGTTCCAACCAAATATGGGTATAAGTTGAAATAGGAAGGGTATCCTTGGGTCATATGCATTCAAAAGAATTCTAAACCCTTCCATGCTAGATTTTATCTAGGTTTATGGAATTCATGAAGTACAGCTCTTATTTCAGGTCAGGTTCAAGGTTTAAATTTTACAGCTGCTCAGTATACCCAACTCATATGAAATACGAATATTTAGAGTCAACTTGCATTTGGGGGTTTTAGGAGAATCATCCAATAAAGATAGGGAGGCTGATAAAAAGGGAAAAGGAGAAATATAAAGAAATACAGAAGGAAAGAAATCAGAAAGATGAGAAGAAGAGAGAGAACGTGATATAGGAAGGTAACTGGAGGACAAGGAAAGGAAGGATTTCCAAGGTTGATGAGTCAAGTTTGTTGTTACTTAATTTCATCAAATTGTTCATTAGCTTTGGAAAACAAATCTGTTAGTGAAGCAAATTTTGATTCAGAATTTTGTTTGGAGGATTCTGCATAGCAATAACAAATGTCCATTATGTCTAAAAATATTAATCCTTTTTTTTTAAATTCCTCTCGAATAATTTTGTTCAAGTCAAATGTTCTTCAGACTGGCTATTGAAGTCCAAATTGCTCTTGATAAAGTAATGCTGTTTGGAGAGATAAACACAAGAATCAGTGTTAGAGTGAGAGTACATATATGAATCAAGAGTTTTTCCTGGAAGAGAAGATTTATACTTAGGCCGCTCTATAAGAGAAGGTAATATTTTGTTGAAAGTGAAGCCTGTGCACTTCGTGACTTAAGCTGTTAACCTGATGGTTAGCCACCTCCAAAAGCAGACACAATAATCTGGGCCCTGTACAGGCAGAAAACCAAAGACAATGCTCTATCTGGGTAAAAGTCATGTTCCTATGACAAAACATTGAAACACAAGGAGAACCTCATCCCACTTAATTTATGACACATAGCAAAGTTTGTTCAAACAGATGCTTGTCTGATGAGAACCTCAAACTTGCTGGTCTGAAGGGCAGGCTTGAGCAACAGGTTTAGAGAGCAAAATACGATTCAAAGAAATGGTGTGATCCACCAGGATGACAATCAAATAGTAACCTAAAACAAAATCTGAGTATCAAATTAAGACTAAATTTGAGAAACTCTAGGCAGCAGGATTCAGACTCAGCATGGACTTAGCACAGTAGTCCAAGCTTCACAAGCCACAAACATCCAAGTTAAAGAGTTCTCTCAAAATCTAGGGCTGTTATAATGACCAAGTCTTGATTGGACATACAGAACAACTATGGCATTTCCACATAAAAGAAAGATTACCCAAAAAGTAGCAAACAAAGGCAGTTTTGTCACAGGTTGCTGTAGCAGGAGAGCCACTACCACTGCATTTTTTTCAGGAATTCAAAGGCAGGCAAATAAGTGGGAAAGCTGTATAGTGATTAAAAAAGGAAGGTTTTAAGTATGCTGTCTTTAGAGATTGTTGCCATGGAGGACTTGGAGTCATGCTAACAACAGGTGGTTCATCTTATATGATTGATTTGGAGATCATATTTGACTTTCTCTGGTTGACTCTGAGCTGAAAGTGGGAACAAAAGAGAGAAGCTGCCAGTCACTGACCAAAGCCTGACTGCTCTGGTCAATTGTAGCAGAGGTTGTTGTTTGTCCTCTGGGCTGGTTGCTATAGAGTTTGTAGGCTGATGTTCAGTTGTAGATTAGAGTTTTGTGGTCATTTGTGGTCTGCACATCTTTCATTTATGTATTCAGTCTATCAGTAGCTTGAATTTCTTAAGACTTGAAATCTTATTTCTTTCCTGCAATACTTTCTCTGAAATTTCCCATATGTTGTTATAAAAATACAAACAGGGTTGCAGGTTTTCCAGATGTTTATAATGAAGATGCTATTGTTTATCTTATTTGGAATTTAACTACTTATAATCTTCCTGTCCCCTTCCAGACAACACCAGATCTGGCTAGACATTTTGCATGCAACAGCAAATTAGTGGGCTCCAGCCTGTGGGTAGAGTGCTGTAGAGCATCCAAATGTTCTACCACAACATTAGAAACTCAAGTTTCACAAAGCAGGGCCTTTATACAACAAATCTGTCTATTTCTGTGGACTCCTTCTTAACTGGCGTTTATTACAGCCAAATTTTGAGACATGATATTTTAAGAAAGCATCTTAAAACAGATACTACTAGTTGTACAGGATGGTCCAGAATTCAAAAATTACTGAGCCATGGCATCTTAAAATCACAAGAGACCCCTAATTTTTGAAGCCAGCCTCTTCATTCTATAAATGAAAACACTAGAAACCACAGAAGTAAAATGTATTTTCAAGATTTTGAAGCCATAACAAATTCACTTCAGCTACTAAATATTTTGATGAAAACATATCTTAATGTAGGACACACTACACTGCCTTTGCTAAAGTATAATTTTTGAAAAATTAAAAATTGGCCCTCATACAAATATAAAATAAATATATGTTAAATATTTTATTATACTTATTATTTGAAGGGATGAATAAAATGGAAAGACTCCTCCATAGGGCATTTGAGGTATTGAAAAGTGTATAAATAATGTAGGAAAAATTGCTGAGTTATATATAAAATTTGCTAGTAACCTACAGGGAACAAAACCGTAATATTTAGGGTTATCATATTTTACTATACATAGATAATTTGCATCTGTAACATGAAAAATCTGTTAGTTAACATGTAATATTAATTCTGGAATATTCATTAGATAGGTAAAATATCCTTTGAAAGAACTAGTTAGCAATGCTCCTTATGACATTAAAAGGACACTGCTTTTTCTTTTTGATTTCTTGCAAATTTTTCCTTAAACAGATATTACTATAAGCAGATTAATCACATGCTGTTATGTCATATGTGGAAGAATGAAACTGGACTCCTACCTTTCTCCGTATACAAAAATTAACTCAACATAAATCAAAGATTGAAATGTAAGACCTCAAACTATAAAAGTCCTAGAAGAAAATCTAGGAGATACCCTTCTTGACATCAGGCATGGCTAAGAATTTTTGACTATGTCTTCAAAAGCAATTGCAATAAAAACAAAAATTGTCAAATGGGACCTGATTAGACTAGAGAGCTTTGGCACACCAAATAAATAATCAATAGAGCAAACAACCAACTTACAGAATGGGAGAAACTATTTGCAAACTATGCTTATGACATAAGTCTAATATCCAGAATCTATAAGGAATTAAACAAATCACCAACCAAAAAACAAATAACCTCATTAAAAAATGGGCAAAGGACATGAAGAGACACCTCAAAAGAAGACATAAAGCTGCCACAACCGTGAAAAAATGCTCAGCGTCATTAATCATAAGAGAAATGCAAATCAAAACCTCAATGAGATACCGTCTCACACCAGTCAGAATAGCTATTGTTAAAAAAATCAATTATTAACATAAGCTGGTGAGGTTGTGGAGAAAAAAGAACACTTATACACTGTTGATGGGAATGTAAATTAGTTTAGCCACTGTGGAAAACAGTATGGAAATTTTTCAAAGAACTTAAAACAGAGCTACTATTCGACCCGGCAGTCTCATTACTAGGTATATATTCAAAAGAAAAAAATTATTCTACCAAAAGACACATGCACTCATATATTTATTGCAGCACTATTCCAATAGCAAAGACGTGGATTTAACCTAGGTGCCCATCAGTGGTGAACTGGATACAATATACCCATGTAACAAACCTGCACATGTACACTCTGTATCTAAAATAAAAGTCGAAATTATAAAAAAAATTAAATAGCTATTATATTTTTTCTACATTACTATATTGTAATTCAACCTATAGAAATAAGGTGCTTTTTAGCTTTTATGCCTCCAATATTCATAGTTCTGATTTCTAGTATTATTCTTGATTTTAATAATTTTTTTTCTCTACAGTCATCATTGATCATTCTGATCTTTTCTACTTTGTAAGTATAGTTTTACTTTTCAATCATATGATTCAATCTAGTTTGTTTGTGAGTTCAGAGGAAAAAAGTACAAGAGTCTATTTTTATGGATAGCTTGGGGATTAACACCTCTGAGTCTCTAATCAGTGCATAGTTTCCAGAGATGGCTTTTGAGTCTAAGGTTTGCCTCTGAAATCAATTCATGTGAGCGCCAGGATGAAAACAGTCACTCACCCAAAGAATCTCAGGTTTCTAGACAAGTGCACACATGTTTTTAATGTTTTCTAAGTGTTTTAACATGATAAACCCTATAAGAAAAAAACAACAAAGGGGCAATGATCTTTGAGATTACAATATTTAAACATCTGTAATTGTGATTGCCAATAGGTAGCCGTGAGCTACATGTGGCTATTGAGCAGCTGAAATGAGGCAAGTGTAAATTAAGATGTGATGTAAGTATAACATAGCTTCTTGATTTTGAAGACCTACTAAGATGAAACAATGTAAAGTATTTTAATAATTTATAAATTAGATGGAAATTGTATTTTTATATATTGAATGAAAGAAAATGTATTATTAAGATTGATTTTACCAATTTCTTTTTACTTTATATATATGGCTGGGAAAACTTCTCCAATTACATATGTGGCTCACATTTGTAGTTTGAACTATATTTCTATTGCATAATAAACAAGTAATAGGGAAGCATAAGCATAAATTACAATGCACGAAAATGTAAACTGACTCACATTTTAAAAGTAAACAATTGTAGAAATTGATAAAAAGATTAAAAGTGATATAAAATTTGAATACATCAGTTTTCTCTAAATTTTAAATAAAATACTTCATTAAACTTTTCTGTTTTTTATCATTTTTATTATGGATCTCTATGCATACTACACATATATATGTATGATCTATACATACATACATACATATATACACTTTTAAATCTGATCTTTTTTAAAGTATGTATTATTTTATTTTAAAAGGCAAATATTTTTATATGGCTGTATTTAGTAGAAAGAGCAGTGGACTTTGATCAGGAGAACAAGAGCCCCACTGGGAGCTGTGAGTCATAATACTTCTGCTCTTCTTCCTTTCCTCATACATGCAATAAAAACGTATTTCAGGGCTGATGCTCGGCTGAGATGTGCCAGTGAGTATGTTGGCTATCAACTACTCCCAGTGACCTGGCCATTATTAATCTGTGGATGCTGTGTGTTTACCAGTGTTTAAATAACATTATTGGAAATTCCTACCTTATTTGATTGTTGTGAAAGTAATGTGTTAGTGCATTGAAGTGTTTTCAGCATCAGAACGATCATAATAACAACAACAAGAATAACTAACAATATATGAAACGTAACCAGTCTATCTTAAATGCTGCAGGATTTCAAAAACTGACAGCATATAATCTTCCAGAATGTCTAAACCTGAAGCTGGTGATGAACAAAAGGTGCTGGATCTTTTTGTTTCTTTTGTGCTTGAACAAAAATATGAAATACAGAATTTGAATATTTTATCAAGTTCAAAATATCATCCCAATAATTTGAGAAATTATTGTAACATTTCCTAAATTAATACTCATTTTTCAACAAAATGCAGAAGAAACAAATAACATTTTGCTCTAAAATACATTTTGGTAAGATATCAGCATTTAAACAAAATAATAATGTGATGAGCCAGTTATCTATAATAGAGTATAAGGGACTTGGATATATTAAAAAGAGAAAGAAGGGACTTGGATATATGAAAAAGAGAAAATCTGAGGGTCTAGAAATGGAATAATGGCCATCCAGGTGTATTTGTGGCATTTCTGACTCTATATGCTCTAAAGACAGTGTGACAGAGAATGGAGTCATTACACTGTAGTGCAGGAGATGTATGCTGAGGAATCATGGTCTTATTTCACATAAATCTTACTAGACATCTGAGTTTGGGGTTTCTAGTGCGTATTATCAAGAAACGGTAGCAGCACTGGATAGCTTTTCTGTTAAGTGTGTCAGTGCTGAACACTTAACAGTTTAAGCTCCAATCATCAAGGTTACGTGTAACCATGATTCTAGGATTAGTTCTAGGGGCCTCAACTTAAAGAAACCAAGAATTTGAACATAACCTCTAAAAGAGCATGTAAACATTATCCCATCTAAACCTGGTTTTATTTTTTTTTTTTAAGATCAGAAAATATAACTTAATAGTCAAGGTGAGCTTTTCCAAAGGAAGTATTGGAACTAACTTTTTTTTATCTGAGTCCATTCTACATTCAAAGGAGAATAGGTCCTTAGGTCGTCTAAGTAGCTATGACAGTAAACAGAGAAATACAATAATTAGGAGAAGAACCTAGAAAGAAGCTTCCCTCTTAGATGCAAGTATTAATATGTTTATTCATGCACACTTTCACATATTAATTTATTAATTCATCTCTGCACTCAATTAACTCTGAGTTCCACACATTGTGCATAGATGCTAGAGAAACAGACCTGAATATGGCGGTTTACTCATTGGGAGGAGATCATCTTGTGTTGGAGAAAATAAACTGGGAATAGTTAATAGTAACAATAACTATTGCTATTATTACAAAAGATACACACCAAATATTGTTTACACAAGGGAATAGGACTCCAGAGAGATGACATTTAAGATGATATCAAGGATGTTTGTAAGTTGGTTGGTGAAAAGATGGAGAGGCAGGAGTTGAGTAGAGAAAGGAGGCCCTTTCTGCCAGAGAATAAAAGATGAGCAAGTGCCTGAAGATTAGAAACAGCTGATGTTTCTGGAAAGAGCAGGTGATTCAATCACACATTTATCCCATAATATTTTTGACCACCAGTTGCCAGGAACACTTTTAGATGTTGAACTCTTAAGATGATAAAATTATGTTTGCATTTCTTCAGAAATTTACTATCTATACCTTTTATCAGATTATCACAATTGTTAGCATTTCCCAGATGCTAAAGTATTTCTGCCAGCTTTCACTTACTTTTTACAGCAAAGTGTTGGAAACATATATCGACTCACAAGCTCTATAGTAGCTGAACTTGGATTTGATTTTACCCTAGAAATCCTTTTCAATGAAAAATAAATATATCCCAAAATAATCACCCATTTTTAACTGTTCATTCAGAGGTTCTGGGAAATCTGAGTTTTTACAGCACCAAAAAGAAACAATCACAAACCCCTTCATTGGTTTATTTTTGTTTGCTATTACTGCTGTAACAAAATACCACCAATTTAAAAATATAAAATATCAATTCATCATTTTATAATTCTGTAGGTTGTAAGTTCAAAATAGGTCTCAGTGGGCTTAAATAAAGATATCAGCAGAGA
The DNA here is from genome assembly GCF_000001405.40 of Homo sapiens. NCBI lineage: Eukaryota > Metazoa > Chordata > Mammalia > Primates > Hominidae > Homo > Homo sapiens. The sequence goes on along the minus strand of NC_000002.12, from coordinate 83,457,416 downwards.
TCTTTTGTTTTGTTTTCTTCAAGATCTGAAGAAAGAATCAATTTCCTTGCCCTTTTCAGTTTCTAGAGGTCACTTGCATTCTTTGGTTCATGGTCCCTTCTTCAATTTACTTCAGCCTCCTACTTCCATCATCACATTTCCTGTTATTACTCCGAGCCTCCTGTCTCCCTCATACAAAAACCCTTTTGATTATCTTAGGCCCACCCTGTTAATCCAGGATAATCTTCTATCTCAAGGTCCTTAACTTAATCATATCTGCAAAGGTCCTTTTACCTTGTAAGATAATGTATTCACAGATTCTGGAAATTAGGATAAGGAAACTTTGGGTGGCCATTATTCAGCCTATCATAGTATGCCGTCTGGTGACAAAGATTTATATTCATCTCACATGCAAAATTAATTACCACATCCCAGAAATCTCCGCTCCTTATAGCACCAACTCTATGTCCAGAATCTCATCTTAATATCATCAGTTCAAAAGGCCCAAGTTTCCTCATCTAAATAATCTAAATCAGGTATAGATGAGAGTCTTGGTATGATTCATCCTGGGAAAAAAGCTCTCTCCATCTGTGGACCTGTGAAACTAGAAAATAACTTATCCTACCCAAAATACAATGTTGTAACTGTCATTGGATACCAGAATATAGACATTCTTATTCAAAACAGAGAAACTGTAAGGAAAGTCACCATCCCAAGCAATTTTTAAAATCCAGCATTGCAAACTTTGTAAGATTTTCAAAGCCTAGATAAAACATCTATGACATATGGACATAGGAAGGGGAACATCACACTCCGGGGACTGTTGTGGGGTGGGGGGAGGGGGGAGGGATAGCATTAGGAGATATACCTAATGCTAAATGATGAGTTAATGGGTGCAGCACACCAACATGGCACATGTATACATATGTAACAAACCTGCACATTGTGCTCATGTACCCTAAAACTTAAAGTATAACAATAATAAAATTAAAAAAACAAAAACAAAAAAACATCTATGACTCAAAACTCTTTCTGGGCCGAAGGTTCTGTCCTCTGGGCCCATTACTCTGTTGTCTGAGAAATCCTTCTTTTGTTATGAAGGGTAATGCATGTTTGCCGCAGAATAGTTTTATTAATCTTATTTTCTGCCTACAGAATTTTGGGAGTCAGCAGTCTTCTCTCATTTCATCTTTTCTCTGATCCTTTCAGTACAAGTTGTCAGTATTTCTGCTGGCATAACATTATCAAACCATTATGGATCTTCTGTGTATGTTACAGGGATTCATTCTATTAGTCAAGAGGCTCCTCCAAGGTCTTTCCTAAATGTGAAAGGAGTAATATATTTTCTTGCCTTTTCCAGCTTTAGGGTGTGATTTTATTTCTGGGTTTGTAGATGTTCTATCTTCATCTTCAAAACAAGCAATGGCTGATTGAATCTTTCTTAAATCGCAACACTCTGACACCAATTCCATGGTCACATTTTCTTTTTTAAAGTTAATTATTCTGGCTTCGTTGTCTACATTTAAGGATGCTTGTGACTACATTGAGCCCATCCAGATTATCCATGTTAACACCTGTAGCTTAAACTCAGCTAACAACCTTAATTTTGTCTGCAACCTTAATTTTCTTTTACTATGTTGCATAATGTGTTTATAGGTACCTGGGATTAAGACATGGACATCTTTGGGTGCCGTTACTCTGCAGGCCACATTGTTTATCAAGCTTTAAAACTCTTAGGTAATATTGGGTAATAATATGCTCACCACCTGGATGATGGGATCATTCCTACCCCAAACTTCAGCATCACACAATATAGCCATATAACAAACTTGCACATGTATCCCCTGAATTTAAAATAAAAGTTAAAATTATTTTTAAAACAGGAATAGACTATGTAATGATAAATGCACAAGACCTAAAAAATAAAAATTAGAATAAAATAAAATAAACAATAAAGCACAATTTCAATTTATATATTGGGAAGGTTTGATTTTGATAATTTATTCACGTAATGAATAGACTGTGCACACACTGACTGAAATAAAAATATATAAAAACAGCACTTTTGTGAAAGCTATAAAGTGAGATATCCATCAAATAATACAACTGTACCTCAACACAAAACAATGTAGCTTATTCTTCATGTTAGCTCTAGAGAGTAAATACTTAATGGGTTTTCATGCATTGCTAGTGGGAGTATTATCATTACTGAGACTAATTTGGTGGTACCTGAATAAATTTAGTATAAATATGTTCTACATTAATAGAATATCTGCTTCAAGGACATAAGCTAAATACATTTTTACTTTAATCCATAAAGACCATGTATAAGGATTTTCCTTGTAGTACTATTTATGTAGCTGAGAGCTGGAAGCAATCTGGGTTGTCAGTGTGAGACGGAATTGATAAAAATCCCTTATATGAGAGAACTATGAAGAAATTATGAACAATGATCTTTTAGATGGAAATAATAAACCAAGAGTGGGTTTTAAAACATACTGCCAAGGGAAACTCATTGCCATAAATTATCATTTACATAAATATAAAAATGTAATCAACAATATACATTTTCCAAGAACACATGTAAAGGGTAGACATCAAACATTAGCGTGATTGTCTTTTGAATAAGGTACATAATTAACATACTTAGTGTCTGCAGTATTCAACTCCTGAAACAAACAAAAAGAGTGAAGGGAAGGAAATGAGAAGAGAAAAGGAAGATAAGGAAAATAGAGAAATAATTCTTCAGCAAAACTTATTTGAGGGCCATGGCAAATAAAAACAATTTCTGGCAAATGGAAATGAATAAACAAAGATGGATATATAAGAGGATCTGCAAACTTTTTCTGTAAAGAGCCAGATAATAAAAATACTTTAGGCTTCGTGGGCCATGTGTTCTTTATGGCAAGTACCACATAGTGTGAAAGCAGTCATGCAAAATGCGTGAGCGTGACTGCGCTCCTGTAAAACTTTATTTACAGACATTGGGATTTGATTTTCCCATAGCTTTGGTGTATAATCAAATATTATTCTTTTGATTTTACATTTTAAAAATGTAAAAATCCTAGTTCATGGGCCATACTAAAACAGAGATTGGGTCAGGTCAGAGGTGTTCTGTGGGCTGTGGCTGGTATAGAAACAACAAAGTACTAGGCATCCCTCAATTTGACTAGAACAACAACTTAACTTTCTCCTAGAGGTTGCGGTGAACCGAGATCATGCCACTGCACTCCAGCCTGGGTGACAGAGCGAGACTCCGTCTCAAAAAAAAGAACATTAACTTTCTGTTGAATAAAAAATACTCAGTAATTGTTGATGCTATTATTTAAGATCTCTTGAAACTTTTAACTGAAAATAATTTTGTAATTTTGGATTATTATGCTCATTAGGACCAAGAAATTTACTAATATATGCAAATTAATAAATTGTAACTTTATCTTAATCTTCCCTATTTCAGTTTTAAAATTAAAGAGGGCTGGCCAGGCATGGTGGCTCATGCCTGTAATCCCAGCACTTTGGGAGGCTGAGAGGGCGGATCACAAGGTCAGGAGTTTGAGACCAGACTGACCAACATGGTGAAAGCCCGTCTCTACTAAAAATATAGAAATTTGCTGGGCGTGGTGGTGCACACCTGTAGTCCCAGCTGCTTAGGAAGCTGAGGCAGGAGAATCGCTTGAACCTGGGAGGCTAAGGTTGCAGTGAGCCAAGATGGAGCCATTGCACTCCAGCCTGGCTGACAGAGCAAGATCCCATCTTAAAAAAAAAAAAAAAAAAAAAAAATTGAGAAGGGTTACAACTGTAATAAATAGGCCCCAGGATACGGAAAATTTTGTTTTTCTCAACTGTGTTTATATATCACAATTTTTATTCTTATCTCTAGGGATTGGGCTCTGGAAATACATTATAAATTATTTGCCTACAACAATAATACATTTTAGACCAAAGATCTGCTTTATATTCTAACAAAACTGAGGGAGACTGTTAATATTAATGAAATTAACCTTGAGATTCTATATGCCTCTTTGGTTAAGGCATACCCTTGAGACAATAAGAGTGACAGTTAACTATGGCTGTACATTAAAGCACCTAGGGAATTTTACCAATTCCCATGTCTAGGGTCCACTCCAGACAAATCATATCAGGTTGTCCAGGAGCAGAACCCATTAGTTAAAGTTTTTTAGATGATTTTAATCTGCAGGCTGTTTACGTACCCCCGGCTAATTCCCAGCCTACTAAAGAGAAAAGCATATCCGTAGACCACAATCTGAGGAGACTGAATATAAATAGTTGGCATATCTCAGCAAGTGAAAAGACTTTGACATTCTCTCAAATGTGTAAGGGATAAGAAACATTACCAATAAGTCTGTATATAGTCTCTTTTTCTCTCTCTCTTTCCATATATATGTATGTATGTGTGTGTATTCATATATATATATATAGTCTATATATAGAGAGAGACCTTGACTTAGAGGGTTCAACCTAACAATTTTTTTTATTGACAATGGTGCGAAAGTGATACACATTTAGTAGAAACCATACTTCAAGTGCCCATACAATCATTCTGTTTTTTTACGTTCATTACAGTATATAAAAATTTCATGAGATATTCAACTATAGGTCGAAACCATAGGTCATGTTTAAGGTAGGCTAGGCTCTAAGTATGATGCCTACTACAATAGATGTATTAAATGTATTTTCAACTTATGATGAGTTTATCAGGATGTAACTCCATCATAAGTTGCGGAGCGTGTGTGTGTGTGTGTGTGTGTGTGTGTGTGTGTGTGTGTATTTCAACTGTAATGCCAAAAAGGGAGTTTCTTCTTTTCATTAGAGCCTCCCACAGCCTTAGTTAGCTGCTGATGTATGAGGTTGCACATTCACATTCAGACTGTGACCCAAAATAGACAATATTAAGAGTTCATGATAAATTAGATATTTGTGACAGTAATCTGGCACTCACTGAAAACCATAACTTCAAAAGTCACAACTGATAGACAGTAATATAGGTATATATAAAATTACCAGAGGAATATTCTTTGCGTTCATCTATTTGAGTTTGTGGCTTCCTTGAGGTTTCATGGAGGCTTTTCAGACATTATTCAGCCTCCTGAAGTTAAATTTCCTGAGATTATATTTAAAAAAATTGAGTTGTGTGTACAGATATAGTATATAATATGTGTATTATATTATATATGGATATATATGTGTGTATATATAGATATATAATCTGAGGAGAGCATCCGCAATTTTCATTAAATTCTAAAATATCCAAGAACTCTCACTGCCCTTGTCTCTCATCTACTCCCCTCTCCTCAATAATATTTTAAAAAGACATGAAAAAAACAGGAAGGCTGCTATTTGAGATTCTTTTAATTCTAATACCCAACCATGGATTAGTCTACATCATGAGAAAATTGCAACAGAAAACTACACCAATCACTTAATTCTGGCTCCAACTATAATTACTTAAACTGAATTTTACTTTGGCATGATGTCTTAGAGAAGCAGCTCTATAAATATTTTTTGCCTTGTTTACTGAAGATAATTTTCACTCAGTTAAATCATATACACTTTTACCAAAACCCTTGTGGAAATTTTCTCTTTTTTCTAAATGTCAAAAATTGGGCTATTTCTTGTTCCTGCTGAAGATCTTACTTGTTTATTCTTTAAGGATATTGTGAATTTTACAAGTGATCATTTTGGTTTTAATTTCAACACCCAGAGAGATTGCTTCTAAAGAACAGAGCTCATCCCTAGATATAAGACTGGAGCATAAGGTCAGGGTTGGCACATGACACAGACCGAGTAATGTAGGTATTCAATAATCAATTTTGAAATCCTCTCTATTTCTAACTGTGTGACCTGGAATTCCCTGCTGAATGACAGAATTGGTTTCAGGTCCCATAGGTTAGCCAATTCTACCTACAGCAATAGAGCAATCCTCCTTTTAACAACCCAGATATCGTGGTGCTAAAAAAAAAAAAATTCATTAAAGAGCAAATTCTACAAATGGGAAAAGAAGCACAATGCAAAAGCTTCCGATTGTTTTCCTCCTACTGCACTCTTTAGACTTCAGTGTTTAAAAAACATCTCTTGTTCATTTTTTTAAATCTTTGTACTGTCTAAACATATAATGGATAATTAATTTTAAAAGTTCAGTGAGAAATGATCACATCCCCTTATTAGGAAATGACTTTGTTGAGTACATACTATATGCAATATTGACTTAATTGCTTTTTTTTTTACTAGACGAATTTCACTATTTTTGAACACATCTTGCCAATGCTATGAACCCCTAAAAGTGGGTAATTTTAGTAATCACCATAAGATTATAATGATATAATTGACAAAAAAGGAGTTCATATTCAATGTATAAACAGTGTTATTTGAAAAGAGGAAGGTTCATTGGATGACGTTTTTGGATGCTTTTATCCCTAGGGTGACACTATGGTTGATAATAAAATCTTGCTAAGCACCAAATAAACTTTTTTTGTTGTTTTTACACAAAGTGCCCTTAGCTCTGGAAAAGATTACTATCCAGAGACCCTGAATAAAGACATCTGGGCTGTTCAGAAAACAATTAATGAGAGAGCATCATGAAGATAAATTTGACCTGAAAGGAAAAAGTCTCAGCTTTTTAAATATTTTAATATTTGAGGAGTGCTTTATGTCTAATATTCAGAATATCATTAGAAGATTGCCTTTAATTTTCTTGTACAGTTGGAAACCATGCAGCTATTTGGCTAGTTGACACTGGATAACTTTGCATTTTGGGAAGACTTTTACAGTCTGAGATCATCTTCTAGGTAATTATTAAAATATTAAATGGCTTTTTAGACTACTGTAGACTATCTTCCTTGAAACAGTTGGAAGGCATTGGATTCAGTATTGCACAATGTTACTTACTCAAATTACTCCTGAAAATGCTATAAGGTATATTTTTTCTTTCATGCTTAAAAAAATTAATAGACATTTTTTCAAGCAGTTTTAGGAAAAGTTCTACAGTAAGTACAGAAAGCTTCCATATAACTCCTCTCCACCCCATACTGAACCCACACATTTATTAAAACTGATGAACTACTATTAATAGATTATTATTAACTAAAGTCCATAATTTACATTAAGTTCACACTTTGTGTTGTACATTCTATGGACGTTGAGAAATACCTAATGTCCTGTATCCACCATTGCAGTATTATACAGAGTAATTCTACTGTCCCAAAATGGCTCTACCCACTCCCTAGGCCCATGGCCACCTCTCATATTTCTACTTTCTCTATGCTTGTCTTCCCTACAATGTCATATAGTTGGAATAGCACAATATGTAGCATATTTAGACTAGCATATTTCACGTATCAATATTCAACTAAGGTTCCTCCATGGTTTTCTGTGATCTGATGTCTCATTTCCTTTTATAGCTAAATAATATTGCATTGTCTGGATGTACCATCCTATGCTTATCGATTCATTTATTGAAAGGCATGTTGGTGGCTTCCAATTTTTGGCAATTATGAATAAAGCTGCTATAAGCATTCATATGCAGAGTGTTGTGTGAACATAAATTTTCAAATCATCTGGGTAAACATCTAGGAGTGTGATTGATTGCTGGATCCTATGGTAAGCATATATTTAGCTTTGTAAGAAATTGCTAAACTGCTTTCCAAAGTGGCTGTACCATTTTGTATTCCCGCCAGCAATGAATGAGAGCTTTGTTGCTCTGCATTATTTTGAGAATTTGATTTTGCCACTTTTAATTTTTAGCCATTCTAATTGGTGTATTATAATATCTCGTTGTTGAGGTAGGTTTTTAACTACCAATATGCTGAAAACAAGGGCTTTGGAGCCAGTGATCCTGGCATTGCAGTTTGGCTCCGATACATCTTAGGTGTGTGATCTCAGGCATATTCTTTTAAAACACTGTGACTCAGTTTTCTTACCTGTAAATAGGACTGATCATATTACCTACTTCATAGCATTACTGCAAGAAAGTATGAACTGACTTGCTTAAAGTGCTTAGACGTGCCTGGCATGCCATAAGTTTCCATAAGTATTATCACTGGCATGGTGTAGCTAATTTTAGAGACGAGAAAAAAAATAAGTATTTTGGCCAAATTTGCTTGTTTAGAAAGTAGTGCCACCAGAATTTAATTTCAGGTCTGTCTCCTGAGCTTATATTCTTTCCAAAATTCCATGAAACTTCTGAAGTTGAAAAAAATAGTACTCCCATATACAAAATTTCTTGGCATATCTAGTCAAGTGTGAAGAAATTAAGTCATAGCTGTGCATTCATGCTCAGCTCAAGTTGCCTAAAATAATGAAGGCGACAGAGTGTATCTTTGGGGCCATCTATTCCTCTTTCCCTGCTAACTGTATCTGCAACAATTTCATTTCTCATTGTTCTCTGCCTTCCCCTTCTAGCTAATCAGAAAGCTCTGTTGCTTCTGCCCTTTCATCCAATGTTATAATATAGCTATTAAAAAAAAAGGTCCTATATACAGATGTTTGTATTGACACTCTTATTGTTACTATTTTGATTTAAACCTAAGAAGATTCATTACAGAAAATAATGCTATTGCTTTACACATATTTGTAGGTTATTGAATCTAGAGTGCTTTCAGTATGTTTAAATTAATATACTTGCAATCCGTGCAGAAGACATACTTGGAAGCATGGGTCCAAATCTTATTTAAATTTTTATTACATTATACCTGTTACATACCCCAGCATAAATCAGTCACTTGAAAGGTATATTTGAGTGAATGAATGCATAAGTGACACATGGTCTGAGACCACTATCTCAGAAAGAATATGCCATATCAATCACACACAACAAATTCTGGAGATCTTTTTTCCTGAAAGAGAACATAAAAGAGAGGACCATTGGATTTCTGGTTCCTTGCCTCGGGGAAGCTTTTCTTCCAGCTCCACACCCTGGAGACCTGTTTGAACTAGGCAGAGTTTTCAATGGAAACGACGTAGATTGCTAATCCTAACCCATCATCAGTGCTAATATCTTTGTTATATTCTCAATGTTCATTATTTTTATAGACAATTGAAAATATATTATTTCAACATATTTTTGTTTGTAATTTGTTTGCCTGGTTCTTAAAACATCAAGCTTTAATTTGAAATAAATTACATATCACTTATCTGTTGTGTTAGTGGTTTTACCAAAGAAATGGAGCTCATCCCATGAAAAAACAATCATTTTGTTTTTGCTGCTGTCGCTCTTCTAACACTTAGATGGAAATCTTAATTAGGTAATACGATTACCTGGTCTATTTTAGATGAGACATTCCAAACTCAATGTCAACCTTTGTCAGTGCCTTTTTGTCATCATTTGAACAAGTTATTTCCATGTTTGGAATGACAATTGGTATATATTATAACAGTATATAAAACAGCTTGTTTGCAACCTAAAAGGCAGTGTCTCCTGTTTGTAGTATTTACATACATATCTGGGTATGCACATATGCAACATTTTATTTCACTTTTGTCACTGTTAACTGAGGCCTTGTATTGCTATTACTGTCTTGCTCGTACCAATCCCCTTTACAATGTATTTTAATTTATTTTAATATGCTAAGGTTTGAGAAAAAGACATAATATGTTTGTAAACCCTAAATAAATAAGACAAATAAACAGTTTATATGCTAGCATTGTCTGTCCTACTTAACTATATAATTAGCTTTCTCAGAAGCACGGTTTTGGAATGTACAGTTTAGAGCCTTGGATGTTGCAAAAGGGTTGCATCCTTAGAAGATGCCCTAACCATTTGGAATGGAAGATGCTGATTTGAAAGATAACCTTACCACTTATGAGTTTTGGTAGAGTAGATGTGGAATGTGTGAAATGTTGACTAGTAATAGTATTCCATTGATTATATTTGCCTTAGCTTCCTTCTGTGGAAAAAGCATGGTTGGTTTTTATTACCCTTTCCTGTAGTTGGTCATCTTACAGAGCTTTGATGTTACTAGGAACTTCTCATAAAATTAAATAGGTTGTCACAGAGTTATATGTTTTATTAATACACAAAATTTACCCTCTATTTGTGTTGTTTCTCAAATGCACATTTTTTTGGACAGTGAGATCCCAGAAACAAACAAAAAAAATGCCATGTTTACTTCTTGTATCCTCCCACTTGAGTAGGGGTTAATGGCGTTACAGATATTGGATCTGGCTATAGCTGTGGTCTGCTAAGTGGCCCACTCTGATGAATAAACCATATTAAATTATGCCAAAGCAGACATACAGAAAGAAATCGAGAAAACACATTCTTCCTTGACTGACACCCTTTTCCGGTTGGCCCCAGGCCGTTACAGCATTTGTTAGTCCTGTGGCGGCTTCCGTAAGCTTTTATCACTGGACCCTAAGTTCTGTGGGCTTCTGGCTCAAATTATGCTCTGCTGTGGGCTCCACTCCTTTGAGGGCCATGAAACGAAAGAGACTTTCTAAGAGTTATTATACAACTGATCTCAAACTCATCAGGCATTACATTTCAACCTTTTGTCTGTTTGGGTCTCTGCCTTGTTCTAAGTGCTGAGCAGGACGAGGAATAATTTATTCCTATTTGCACAGGATCAATGGCATATTACAAAGAAATATGTAGATATATATGTAGAAAAATAAAGTGCAAAATATTGTGATACAGAAAGAAGACTTTAGAAATTTTATCCAGTCTGGGCTGAATTAAAGTTTTAGTGGAAGAGGTAATATCTGAGCTGGACATTTAAAAATATGTACAAGTGTGAAGAAAGAATAAGTTTTAAACCCTCCATACCAGAAAAAAGCCTATCTCTCTACTACTCAAATTATTTTATAAGAACACATTGTTTTTTGCCTGACACCCTTAGACCTGTACCCCCTAATCCCCTTTAGCAATCTTGCCTGTGCATCCAAATTGGCACATATGATATTTGCCTTCCATACAAAGGTGATTCCATAGCACACATATTTTAAAAGGTTTTGGCTAATTGGATAGAACATGAAGGTCAATGGCTCACTTATTATTCCAGGGTTGCTGTAAGACTTGACTCTAGTGAGACTTGGCTTTCAAGGGTGTCCTCACCAACCAGCCTCACCAAAGCTAAGATTCCACTCTTTTTAATAAGTCCATTTAGCATGAACCACTTGAAAAAAATTATGCCTTGCACTTGACAATACAGATCTTTTTGCAAATATTCCACTAAAATTTCTTCTATTTTACTTTAAATCTCTCTTACCTATTCTTCTTTAAGAGCCTGAAGGATTTAAGACTTTTCCTCAATCATTTAACCTGGCATTGTATTAAGGTAATCAATGACCTGTGTCCTGAATTTCCTTCCACTGCTCAAGTTCATGTACTCCACATAACAATCAAACAATGTTCCTCCATCCCTGTGTGAGCTACATCTACTCTGCTTTCCTGCATGCTGAGTGTTCTGTTTTATCATGGCCACATTTCAGTATTTATAGATATTTTTCCACACATGCTGTACATCAGCTATCTGGGTTGTGTGTGGGGAAATGACAGAATTTCACCTGGGTTGTTGAGCCTGGGGATAAGTTGAGTAAATTTAAAGACAGTCTTTTGGATAGACATACAAAGGAAAGACATCCTTTAACTCCATTGGATGTTAGTGGATGCACATTCCATGGGGAAAAAGACTTTGTCTATTTTTCTGGTTACTCTTACCTTAGTCCTGATCACAGTGGATCATCTTTATTATATTAAATTATGAAAAATACTTTGTCTATTTCTCTTGTTACTCTTACCTTAGTCCTGATCACACTGGATCATCTTTATTATATTAAATTATTATTCGTTGAATTAGTGAATACATTAAAACCAAGCACATCATTTAACTAGTTGTTTATTCAAATGATCTAAGTATAGATGAAAAAAACTAATGAACAGGAAAATAGACAAAAAAGGAAGACAAGAAGAAAGTAAACAATAATAGAGAAGTAGATAGGGAGCAAAGTCTGAAAAAGTTCTTACAGTCTTGAAGCTCAGCTAAAACTGTTATTTACAGACTTTCCGTAAGGTTAAAAGTGGGGAGGAACTTACTAAAATTACTGACCCAACAAGGACACTATCTTGAGATGCAAATTATATTTACATTTTTAAATGCTGGTCAATTGAAATTGTAGATTATTCCACTCTTCTCTCAAATAGATGTAATCTCTTCTTTTAAATTTTATATTTCAAAGATTGACCGAGCTGTCTTATCTTGCCTCCCAAGCTATAATATCTTCGAAGTTTGTTTATTCTCTTAGATGCTTAGTACATTAAAATGCAAACTTAAAAATTTTGAAGGGATCAGAAATGCAAGATCTATTTATTTTAACACCTACACCAAAGGAGCTGTATTTCTCAAAGGAGTACATTTTTAAGAATTCTGGGTCTCAAACTCCTGACCTCAGATGGTCCTCCCGCCTCAGCCTCCCAAAGTTCTAGGATTACAGGCATGAGCTATAGCACCCAGCCAAAAGGCAACCTTTATGATTGATTGATATTTGCTTTTTGCCCCTTTTTGTTCTTCTGTCAGGAATGGCTCCTCCCCAGCAACTGAGTGCCTGAGTGCTGCTGAAGCTGAGGGAGCAGGACGGCTCCAGCCCTGAGGAAGAGTTTGGGAATGCATCAGAAGAGGCCAGCTTCCCAAAGAGGCATGCAGTCTGGCTGTGGGCTGACTTTCAGTCATGCCAATCTCTTTCTCCTAACATTTTGAACCTTAATGGAGATATACTACCTTTGATTAGTTTTTAAGGAGAAGCCTCATAAAAAGCAAAATCTGTGTGCCAGATCTTTCATTTGAAATACAGTGTAACTGATGGCCCTTCATTAGCATTTTATTGGTACTCTTTAAAACACTCACTGGACGAAACATTCCAGAAGTTCTCTCTCTGTGGAACGTATCACTGTTGTGTCAGACTCTGTAGTTTACAAACTTAAATGTAGAATTCTTAAAAATGTATTCCTTTGAGAAATATAGCTCCTTTGGTGTAGGTGTTAAATAGATCTTGAATTTCTGATCCCTTCAAAATTTTTAAGTTTGCATTTTAATGTACTAAGCATCTAAGGGAATAAACAATTTTTGACAGGTCACTTGCTCATAGGGGACACCCCACATAATTGAATAAAATATAAATAATCTCTTTAACAGTATTTTGACCGGTTAGTTCAGTGACTCTGTGTCTTACAGTATCATTATTGCATTGAAGGTTGGGTAGTCATTGATGAACTTGAGCACTCAATGATTCTTTCTTTCTATGCTTATGAAGAGTTCGTCAACATGTTCTAAAGGGAGGAAATACAATGCTGAGTAGTCAGTTATACTGCTGGGATCCAGTCTAGGCTCCAGTATTTAGCCTCTTTGTCCTCTGTTTCCTTGTCTATAAAATGGGGATCATGATACCATACTTTTTAGAACTAAAGATGCCATCGATGGCAAAAAAAAAAAATAAATCTCATACCACTACTAAAAGGTAATTAATAGTTGAAATATAACTCAATATTTATTGAAAAAAAAGTAAATCCAAGAAAAGCTTCAGACTGAAGGAAACAACAGTTCTCTATTTTGTTCCACTCTCTTAGCACTTAATCTTGTATTGGCTGCAAAGTCACTATCATCGATTTGCTTGACTTCAATTTCTGTGTCTCATTCTATTTTCTTCTTGTAGAATTTTTATTTCTGTCCTTTTTTATCCTTTGAGTTTGAAATTTTTATCATGACTTGGACTATGGAAATCAAAGAGAAGCTGTAACTCATCTGAGAAAGTGCGTGCACGCGCATGTGTGTGTGTGTGTGTGTGTGTGTAAAATAAAATTTTTTATTGGAGGGGAGATGGAAAAATAGAACAGACTACTGTAAATTTTCTTTCACCTCTAGTATTCTGTAATCTTTGATTAATCTGTTGAAAATAATCAAACATTATAATTTAGTGGTCACATTTAGATATACTTTAAATGGCAATGTAGGGGATTAATGTCACCAAACCACTGGGAAAGGATATCAATTAGTTCAAAGGCTACTTCACAACTAAATTTAGCAATATATTGGAATTAACACATAGCACTCTGTTACAACCCAATAGAAGTGTCCAGAAATAAAGAGCACCTTGTACTGATATTTTAATCTAAATGTACCCCATAGTGATGAGTAACCTAGTTATCAGAAAAAGATGCCCATAATTGTGTTAGATAATAGAAATATGAATTTCTTATGTATCTATTTTACTGTTTTGTTCAGAAAAACATCAGATAGGACAATGTTTATAAAATTTCTTTTTTACATTTAAGAAAATAGAAGATAATAGAAGATACAGGAACACTTGGAGGAAGGATATTACAATTATAGGACAATTGATGCTAGTATTTGAAGAATCAGCCACGTATTTTCAAATCACAGCAGTATGTAAATTTATTATCTTTTGTGGTTTCTACTCAGACTTTTCTTGACAGAGCCAATCCAGCAACAAAATACGATCGTAAATTATAAGTGTTTGCCTCACAGATTTTGCAGATGCCATCTTGAGTGAGTGATTTGTTAGATTTCTACCTGATACCACTCTGTTTGGCTCACTGCCATCCCCGATTTGAAAATCTGCAACTGATGGATCTAGAATGAATTCCTACCTCAAGTAAACCAGAAATTATATTTTGGAACACACTGCAGTGTTACCATGTATCCATCCCATTCCTAACACTAGTCTGTGGTTTGGGATCTCACTAGAAATAATAACAACAGTCTGACTACTCTCAATCTCTTATCAATTCCTGGAAATTACATTTAAAAATTGTCACAAAAAAAACGTTTTTTTTTTTTTAATCGGATGCCCAGGCTGGACTGCAATGGCATGATCTTGGCTCACTGCAACCTCAGCCTCCCGGGTTCAAGCAATTCTTCTGCCTCAGCCTCCCGAGTAGGTGGGATTACAGGTGCACGCCACCACGCCTGACTAATTTTTGTATTTTTAGTAGAGATGGTGTTTTGCATGTTGGCTAGGCTGGTCTCAAACTCCTGACCTCAGATGATCCTCCCGCCTCAGCCTCCCAAAATGCTGGGATTACAGGCATGAACTAGCACACCCAGCCAAAAAAAAAAAAAAAACTTTCTAAATGTTGACTTAGCAACCCAGAGGAACAAAAAAGACGTGTACATTTTGCTATTCACAATTGGAAGAGTTTGACAATAAATTGATACTAAAATTAACTTTCATTCACAGCATGTAATTACTTTTATCAGAAGGTCAGTGGGATTATTCACCTGTTCAAAGTGCTAAGATAATTTTTAACAACCCAAGGGAGTGATGTCGTGGGAGTGGTAGTACAAATCTCAGAATCTAGGAATCTCTCTCTCTCTCTTTTTTTTTTTTCTGCTTGAACTATTAAGTCTGTGTGCTGATGTCCACTCTCACAATAATAGTTAGAATGAAGCCTTTACTATTTTTTGTGTAAAGTGTAGCTATTTAGGTTTGAAATATAAGAATTTGAAAATATGAACACTCTCAAAAATAGCTCGATGTTACAGTCACATGTACAGTGACCTCCCTCCACAAATAGTTATATCACTGGAAATAAGTATTTTTAAGTGATACATTGAATGGCATCACACATATATTTTCATTATAGTGATTTACTCTGTGAACTTAAAACATGTAGTAAAGATGTACTTCTGTGAACATATCTGTTTTAATCTTATTTCAAAATTATATAGTATTCAGCCTGGTTAGCACGTGCAGATATGTTATAGTTTTACATGGTGAAGTTTTATCAATGACCCTTGCAGAAAAGTAGAAAGTAGTTTGGAATAAATGTGTGTGCGTGCACATGCATGTGTGTGTATTGTGTGTATGTGTGCATGAAAAAGTGAATGTGGAGTAACCATAAACCATAATATAGTTGAGATTAATTACATTAGTGCATACACAAGACAATATTGCTCATAATGGTCATGGCAAGGAGGAAGAGGGAATCCAAAGGATGTTGTGGAATTAGCAATTTCGAATAAGAAAATGTATTTTGTATATTATATTAGCATATGTTTCAAAGTATGTAACACAAAGACAACCACACGAAATTATCTGTAATCCATTTATATTAAAAAATAAATACAAAATCATATATACTCACATATATTCATATGCATGTGTGCTTATGATTATAATATAGAGTAAAACCTGTCATAAAGTCATAGTGAGGTAAAATACTTACAATTGTGTAAAATTTCAGTATTTGTTAATATGATGCAATGAGTTAATTGAAATAGCCACAGAAGTTCCAGGGTCAGGACATGTAGTGTAACATCATGCTGACCCAGCTGCCATTCTCTATTCATTTTTTAAAGGGTCATTTCTGGAATCTGTAGTTGGCTGAGATTCTAGAGATCATTTTTTTAACCAGCAGATTTAGGGAGTGTGAACCTACAGAATACAGGGGGATATGAAAACCCAGCCTTTTCTATACATTTTTAGAGGTGGAGTGGTCTGTCCTATTTCTCCTATCCTAACCAGAAGATAAGATGATAAGATTTCAATTCATTGGGCAAGGGAAAAGCAGAGAAGAGAAAGGATTATTAATCCAATTATATGTGACCTAAAGTTTTAAAGGAACATGTTACCCTGGAGTTTTGCTGTATCACTAAACAAGACAAATGGCCAAACATTACAATTAATAAGGTTGTAAAGAGACCATAACTCTTAACCCTGTTGGTGGGAATGTTAATTGGTGAAACCACAGTGAAGGAGAATGTGACTTTATCTCACACAGCTCAAGATCTCACAATTCCACATCTAATTATATGCCAGGGATAGGGTGACCAACAGAACTGGTTTACTTGGAACTAATGATTTCCCAGACAAGAGATTTGCAGTGCTAAAATCAGAAGGCAAGCTGGCAAAAGTTGACTACCCTAAACCCTGGGAGTATTCTGGCATGTGAGCACAAAGAGGCATGAATAACAGTGCTCCTAGCAGCACTGTAGACAATAACTGATATTGATAACAACTTTAGCAGTCATTAACAGACAGAAGAATGATTAAATGGTTACATCCATAAAACAGAATACTAGAGAGCAGTAAAAAATAAGTGAATGACAACCAAATATATTGACATGTTGAATTTCAAAAATAAAATTTTGGATGAAAAAGTAATGTTAGAAATGGTGTTTCATTTGGCTTAAATCTATACAATGTTTTACAAATTATATAATAATACTATGTTAAGAATACTAAAATATGTAATATAAGTAATTATTAGCTATCAGGAAAATGAAAATAAAAACCATAATGAAATACCACATCTTACCAACTAGGATGGCTATACTCAGAAAAGACAGATAATAACACTTTTTGGCAGAGATATGGAGAAAAGGAAACTCATGCATTTTTGATGAAAAAGTAAAACAGTACAGCCATGTTAGAAATCAGTGTAACAGCTCCTTAAATGGTTAAATACATGGAATCATATGATGCAACAATTCCACTCCCAGGTATATACCCAAGATAAATGAGAACATGTTCATGTTCATACAAAATTTTGTATGACTCTTCCTAGCATCATTAATCATAATTGCTAAAAAGTAGAAACAACCCAAAATGTCTATGAACTGATGAGTGGCTGAATAAAGTGTGATGTATCTACACAATGGGAAATTATTTGCAATTAAAATAAATGAAATACTGACACATGTTACAACATAGATGAACCTTAAAAAGTTATCATCTGTGACAGAAGCTCAATCACATATCACCATATATTAATATTTTATTTATATGAAATGTCCACAATAGGCAAATCTACAGAGACAGAAAATAGACAAAAAGATTGTAAAAGTGTGAACATACTAAAAGCTATCGAATTGCATCGCTTAAAATTGTGGTAAGTTGCATAGTATGTGAATTGCATTCTCAGAAATGCTGTCAAAAAAGTGCTAACAGACACTTGGGGATAAAAATCAATAATGTGAGGGCAGTAGTTACCCTTGAAAAGGAAGAGAGTGGTTGTGGTGAATGAGTCTGAGAATCTTTCAAATATATAGGCAAGTTTTTTGTTTTTCAATTTTGGCAATATATTCAAGGATATTTGTTTTATTATATTTTACAATGGCTTGTATGTTTCAATCATTAGAGAATGACATTAAAAATATCCAGCCAATATCTGCCAATGGTAACAACTCAGAGACTAAATAAAAACTAAATAAAGCTCAAGGATATTTGTTTTATTATACTTTTCAATGGCTTGTATGTTTCAATCATTAGAGAATGACATTAAAAATATCCAGCCAATATCTGCCAATAGTAACAACTCAGAGACTAAATAAAGCTCAAAACACAACTCCATAGTATCCTCCTAGCTTTACACAGATGTTCCTCAACAGTTGTTGGTGCAAGACAGATGTCAGCTTCCCTTAGAGTATTAACAATTTAGCGGAGTTTTTCCTCAGTTTTTATTTTATTTAATTGTGCTCATTTGCAAGCAGCCTGTTAAATGTATTCATAAAAGGACAAAGCAGAAGGAGGGCGTGACATCACAGATGAACCATGCTGATATGTTCTGACCTTCCAACATACAAAGCTATCTGTGTAAACACTGAATAAGTACAGATATTAGATGAACTGGTATCTTTGAAGTTAAAGATACTGATAGGAGGGGGAGTTGGAAAGAGAATACAAAGTAGTGGGTCCTTGCAGGAGTGCATTTTAGAAATATAGTATAAATTTGAAATGAAATCTCACAGAATGTTTGATCCACCCATGACAATGATAATTACATAGTGAAACAATACGAAATGACTGTTTTCCAATAAGTATGTATCTTGACTTTGTGACAATATATTGAACCATTGTCAGTTTCAACTACTCTGGTCTAATTTTCCAAGCTCCTATAGCAGCTAACTTTTCTGCAAAGAGTGGGAGCCTTGGCTGACACCACATTAGAGGCAGCTTGGACAATCCCAGACTTAGCTGAAGGCAGAAATTTTGAAGTTGTTTTTGCTTTCCTGTTTTCTCTTTCACTCTTCTCCCTAAGCTTCTCAGGGACTGGGTAAAGGACACCCAGTGTGGGAGAGGCCAGATTGCCAAGGTCACTTGGAAGCCCTTAGCCATGATTGACTAGAAGGGATTTGAGAGAAACACCACCTTTAAGTTTCACTAATGGGAAAGATCAGTGATGGCAAAACTTTCTGCCTACCTCTCCCTTTCCCGTAGGGTTGACTATTTTGTGATTATTTGAGGCCACACAGAATTCGGAAGATCCATATACCTCTTCTACACCAAAAAAAGACATCAGGCCCTGACTGTGTTCGTCCTTTACATTTTGCTTTCTATCCTCTTTCTGAATACCTCCTTTTTTTCCTCTGTGAAATAATTCTGCTTCTAATGTCCATAAGATTTCATATTGAGTGATTAGAATACTGCCCCTGACTAATTTTTTTCTTTCATGCAATTGTCTCTGGACAACTTTTTGGCATCTTTCTAAAATTACATAGTTTTCCACCTTTAGTGTTTGTTACTCTTGTCTTTCCTACTAAAGTGTGATTTTTTTTTAGGGGAGGAATAAATATTTTGCATAATAGACACCTAAACATAATACGTGAATGAAATAGGTTTATGTGTTTTAATAGACTGTGTGAATACACATTACTCTATTAAAGTATCCTGCTTTGTCTTCTTTTAATGTCAAATGATCTCTCCCATTGCTTAGGAATTCCCTTCATAGCAGTAATACTGCATTCTAAATTTAATCTTAATTTTATGGCTGATGATAGTGACAAATTCTGGTAAAGATTCCAAGATTGTTGGAATTAATGAATAGAATTAATCCTTCAGTGTCACAGTATTGAGTTAGCATAGTACATTAATACATTTGTTCTAAGAATTAATAGTAAATAATAGGTTTAATGTAATATGTTTCAATAAAAATGATAAAATTTGCTTTAATATTTCTAAAATAATAACACAAAATGATGTTGATCTGGGAAGGCAGAGGACAGGCTTTAGATACAGGAAGGTCAGCTATAACATATAAGTAGAGCAGTAACATAGATCATGTAAAGGAAAATATATGTGACATATAGGACTCAATTTTCCCTACTCTGTATACACCAGTTCGTCTAACCTTAGTTTCCTCCTCTGTAAAAGAGCTTAAATCACATTGACCTCCCTCAGACAGGAATCTTAAACCACATATATGCAGGCCAGTGATTTGAGTTCTGGGTTTCATTTTTAGGTGTCTCACCTGCTTGCTTACTTTCTTAATTTTTAGTATTTGACTTCTATTCAACTTATGTATGTACTCTAATTCTGATTTCTTCAAGATTTCTGAATTTTTTGTAGAGACCGTATCATTTCTTAACTTTGGGGCTTCTATCATCTCCTACTTGTAGAAAGCCAATGATATAATATGGTTGCACAAGTAAATAAGAATTTCCTTACATACTTTTATCTATATTAGGCAGTTATTAAGTTCATTTGGTAAAAGAAATGAAGTGCCAGTGTCCAGGAAAAATAACAACAATGACAATCTTTGTTTCTTCAGATCTTTTGCCACTAGAGTACTGCCAACTAGAATTTCCTACATGTTTTATCTTACATACAGATCCAAATGCAGAATCCTGAAGAGTTCCTGGACATTTGCATCTGTCTCTTCAGAATGTACATCCAATATTCAAGGGAAAGTTGTTTTGCTGCTTCAGTAAAATGGATACCATACAGATTGAAATAGAAAACTGGGCAATAAAAGCTCAAAAATTAATCTAGGTCTATGCCAGCAAAGGAAAGAAAAGAATCAAGATTTAGTTTCTAGAAGTATATGTGGAGTATTCATTATCTTCCAGATAATTAGTTCTTAAAAGACATTTTAGGAACTTCCATGGGTTATTATATTCCACTCCTACAACAATCTTGTAAATCCCTCAACTTATCTAACAGTGCGCATATCTTATGCAGGTTCTGAAGGTAGGGACTCTTAATTTCAAATTTGACATTATTGCTCTTTAAATGCATGTTATATCATGCTCACAATAACCTCAAACCCCTGGGATCAAACAGTCTTCCTGCCACAGTCTCCCAAGTAGCTGGGACTACAGGTGCATACCACTGTACCTAGTTTATTTTATTTTACAATATTTTATTTTATTTTATTTTTGTGGCGATAAGGTCTTGCCTTATTGCCCAAGCTAGTTTCAAACTCCTGACTTCAAGTGGTACTCCTGCCTTGGCCTCCCAAATTGTTGGGATTACAGGCATGAGCCAATGTGCCCTGTCAGCATTTTATTGTCTAGTTAGTACTTGGATTTCCCCAATTGTTGGACTTTCTCAACTTTGTAGGTGTCCTCATCTCTAAGTGTTTTAGATTTACTAATATTTGGAAGTTACCAATATATAATAACAAATGTAAAACGATGGTACAACATCTATTGCTGTTTATGCATTGCTAATGGCTTGTCTATTTCATGTAGCATGATATAGAGCAGTGGTTCTTAAAATTTTGCAATTGTTTTGACACAGATGGCTGGGCCCTACCTCCAGAGTTTCTATTCCATAGGTCTAGAATGGAACTTGATAATTTGTATTATTAATGAGTTAAGAGGTAATAGTGGTGTTGCTGGTCTAGGGACCATATGTTGATAATAACTGGTATAGAACAATGAAGAATTGGCTTTATGAGAAGTGTGTTGTTGTTGGGGATGCAAGAATGAATTACACAAAATAATCAAACATGCTAATTTCTGGTAGACACATAGAACTTGTGCTGTGTCCCAGGACATTGGTAGAGGCCACTGGAAAGAAAAAGCTGGAGCATGGCAAACTTCAGTGAAGTATTTTTAACTTTCCATGACTGACTTTGGAATGAATGACAGCTATGCTAATATAGGTGCTAGGTGGCTTGATGTAGGTTTAATGATATCTCAGAGATGCTTAAATCTGGAAAACAGTGCTAAATAGTTGCTGGGCCAAGGGGTACCCAGAATAAGACATTCAGTTATGCTAATGCCTGGATGGCATGTTCTGTTGAAGCAAGGCCTAAGCAAACTAGTCTCACAGGTAACAAGTTGATAAGATCTTGGCAGTGTATCTGAACTCCACTAGGATTATTTCATGCTCTTATATTCTACCAGCATGTCCTGAGCCAATGCATATACTTTAAATGGACATGCTTGTCTGCACAGCAACCCACACCTGGAACTCAAGTCTATTTGAGGACTTTGTGCTACAAAACCTTCTTCTGGCATTTTTTTCCATCTCTTTCTCAAATTCGTGCTTACTAATATGAGCCTACATCCATACTGTCAATATTTTGTAGATTCGAAATGCGTTATTTTCTTAAATACTAGGGATAATCACTTAGATATTATTTTCTGTGGTTCTGTCATTTCAAGGTTATTGGGAAAAACCAAGTCCATGATCATGTACTACTTACTATGCTGTGGCTCTTGAGGGAAAAGATCCAATTCCTGGTGATCGTGTATGTGTGTGGGAGCTGAAGAAACACTACTTATACCAGCATTTGGCAATTCTGTGAAGGTTGAATGCCTGTTAACTTCTACACTCATTATTGAGTACCTTATATGTTTTATTTCTTTGTAAAAATGATATATCTTCACTACCAAGGTCAGGATCAGACACATATTATGTACTCATAAATAGTCAATGATTTATTGGCTAAATTATAAGTGGGGTAGAGACATATTTTACTCAGAGTATTTACATATTTAACATAGTTGTAAGAGATGCAAGGAAAAGCTTTCTACACTTAAATAATGAAATCAGGATAGATCAATATAAAATAACACATTTTAATCCATTATTACCTTTCTATTCTCCCTTAAATTAAGCTTAATAATAGAATGCAAAACTGGACAAAAAATATAGGACTTTCCACAGCTTAAGTGAGTACTATTGCTTTAAATTACGGATTCAAAAAATAAAACATTTGAAATATTTCTTCTGTACTTCATTGCTCACTCCCCATCCCCCCCCAAAAAAAACAAAACACCTTTCTAAGAAAGCTTATCTCTAAGTTAATAGGTTTCTGTTTCATTTCTTGCCCCATATGAGCATAACAATAATAATAAAACAATTCCCAATGTCCGAGTACATAACGGAGACATGATTAGCCCTATAAAGTGGTAGAAATGCAACGACAATCTATGTCAGTGTCTTTTTCAGCAATTATCATAATTACAATACTCTAGGGGTTCATATTTAACAAAAAGATAAGAAATTAATCCAATTATTTTTTCTTAGGTTTTTCCACTCATATTTGTTGATTTTCTAGTATGTTTTTACTGAGGAATTGTACTAGATGATCAAGAACTACCAGTTGTGATGCAAAACGGCCAAAGGGAAGATATAGAGAATCCTCAGTTTCCTCCCTTTCTCCTAACTCCTCTGCATGAATTTTAAAATAAGAAAATAAGATTCACACTTAATTTTAAGTTTTAACTTGTAAAACAGCCACTAGAAAGAATAGGTTATCCGCATTCAAATCTCTTTTTAAAGGTAGGAAATGTCCCAGGATAATATTCATCATTAATCTTGTTGAAGGCATTGATAAATAAAGTGAAAATGTGCTATTCAGGTGGGAACATAAAAAAAAGTTAAACTGAAGACCCAAACATTGGCAGGATTCTTAATGGCTAGAGGCTTTCACATACCTCTTAATGTAGAAATTGTATACATACTTGATTAGACTTCTGATTATAATTTGACCTTCAAACTCCATTTATGTGCGTTAAAAATAATGTCTTGATCAATGAAGATACATATTTTATTTCTTGGTGGCTATATATAGCTATTTAAATGAATTTGGTCTTTGCATTTCTATCTTCTATCAATTTTGTAAGCCTAAGTCTCATCGTTGCGGTGGGTGGTAACTACCTCACATTGTATCAATGCAGATTGCCCAAACATATTGTCTAAAAATCCCCTTGAGAATTTCCATCCTGAATACAGTGGCCTTGTTGCTAATTTTTAAGATTAGTCTCCTGTTTCCTGTCTGACCTTGGAATATGGTGACACTTAAAGGTGTGTTTATCCTTTTGAGTACATGTATGAGTGGCCTGTTAGCAGGTTCCAGATGACATACCGCTACCAACTAAGGCAACTGCTTTACATTCAAGGCTTTGCAATCAAAGGATTGTAACATATTGTGAATATGCAATAAACTACAATGTACAAATTGTTCTTGTTTTGCAACAGGAGGGTTCAGGGAAAGCTTCTTTAGAAAAAAAAAAAAAAACAGAAGCCATTTCAGCAAGAAATGAATCCCAAAGACGTGATGGCATCCAAGAGAAATTCAAAGTGATTAAATATGAAGATTTGGGACCCAAACACACAGGGAATTTATGATGTTTTGAGTGTAGATAATGACCGTGACTAAAAGATCGCAGAGCATAGAGGACTGAACCTTTGGATAGCTCCAAATCTAAGAAGTGAAAGAACAGGAGCTAATGAAAGATGCAAAGATATGGTCAGAGAAGCAATTGTGAAAGGATATAGTATAGTTTTAAGAAAGATGAAAGGAGAGTGAAGTCTAAGAACAGAGTATCCCATATTAGAAATATACAGAAAGTTCTAGGCCAAGCAGACAAAAAATAGAAAAAAGAAACTGAAAAGCATCTCTATATTAAGAGCTGCAGATAATTGCTGGCATTTGAAATAAAAAGTTTCAGTACTTGCTTCTCAAAATGTAATACTGAGCTGGCAGGGCCTTCATATTCTTTACATTTTTATTACTCTTCCGATCTTAATTGGGAACTGTTGCCCTCCCCTTTATTCATTTTATGGCATTACAATCATCACTACTTTGAAAGTTTTCCAAAAATAATTACATGATATAGGATCAAGTAGGAAAAAAGATCTGTAGGGAATACTTCACAGTTTCTCTTGGCAACTATATTCTCATTATCTCGAGACAGAACTCCATTTACTTTCATAAAGTATGCCTCTCACCCAGTAACTATGAAAAAACTCAATTTCTCAAGTATGATTGATTTTCACTTATAAACCTTTTGAGACCAAATGTGGAATATTCCTTGACAGAAGTTAGTATTTTTTTCTCCAAATAAATGGAAAATTGTGTTCAGAAAATATATCCATTTCATAGATTTTTTTGATGAATGCAGAAAAAAATAGTCCTCACTGTATCTTTGATTTGCATCCTTGCCTTTTGTCATTAATAAGACTGGATTTGGTGTTTCCAAGTTGTTAAAGTGTTTATTTTCTGAAAGCAATAGAACTAGCTACAATCATTTCCTACTGAAACTGAGAGAGCAATTCGTGGGACTGGAACACAATCTCAAGCTGTTCTCATTCTAAGACTAGCCTCCAAGTACTTGAAATATCCCCCTGAGGCTGGGCGCGGTGGCTCACGCCTCTAATCCCAGCTACTGGGGAGACTGAAGCAGGAGAATTGCTTGAGCCCGGAAGATGGAGGTTGCAGTGAGCCGAGATCGTGCCACTGCGCTCCAGCCTGGCCGACAGAGCGAGACTCTGTCTCAAAAAAAAAAAAAAAAAAAAAAAAAATCCTTATGAGAATTTTTATTCTGAATGCAGTGGCCTTGTTCCTAATTTTTTTATTAGTCTCCCATTTCCTCAGCAGTTTTGCCCTTAATCTTATGCTTCACTCTGAAAATGTTATAGCTCCAAATGCTTACAGACGCCCAGGCACACTTCATGGGCAGTACCTAGCAATGAGATTGGCTTCATGTCAAGGGTAAGCAGGCTGAATTGGGTTGGTGGTAAATGGAGATTCAAGCTTGGGTAGGAGGATATGGATCTGGGGCAAATCAGTGGTTACGAGAATAACTTGTTGCCCCTGCTACACTCAGATAATCTGATAACAACAGGGGTGACAAGCCTGATGCAAATCTGGAGTAGAAAAATAAAGGAGTGCAAAAGAAAGATGAAAAAATGCATGCCTTAGTTGTTCTGACCTACTGAACTGTAATGTAGATTCAGGAAATTGTCCTAATTGAGACTAAGGTGGATGTATATTTGTCTGGAATGTTTCTACCGAGTGGCCTGCAGGGGACATATCCCATGAGTTGGTTTGCATAGAGAATAGAAGATTTGAGAAGATTATTGGCAAGAGAAGAGACAGAAAGTAGTGTAGGATTTTCTCTGCCTAATGTGCCATTATGACTGGTATCTGAGTTCCAAAGTGAGGAACTGCAAGCAGAATCTGAAGGGTGTGTATTTGTGAACTATTCTGGGAGGGCCATGTGTACAAGTGGTATTGCTTAGCTTCCCAAGTGACAACGTTTGACACAGTGGCATAGAGACAAATAATATGTCCACATTTTGAATGATGTCCCTGAATACTCAAGTGTTGTAAACTTTGAGAGAGCCTCTCCCATTTGACATGGGTCTTCACAGCCATGGCTAGAGTGCAGTATATCCAAGAAATTCCATAGGTCAAGAAGAACAAATGCCAGAAGAATAAGGGAGGAGAAGTGATAACTGCATGATGCCTGTCTCTGAAAGAATAGTTAAAGGGCACTTATGAGAGTTCCTCTGCAGATGCAGTCAAAGTATAGATTCTGTGTCAGGTCATGATAAAAAGCTAACCTGTGAAATTAGATCAATCTGGTTGTGAAGAGACCAATATTAGGTTATTATTCTTAATTATGGTAATTGACACTATTAAAATGTCCTGATTTTAGATAATTTTATGTCTTTAGGACAGATAACAGGTCAATGAAACTCATTATTAGGGTAACTAATGTGCATTAAATTGTCCCTGGTCATGAGTTGTTCTTATGTACTGATAGGTACCCATCTATTTCAGCTTATAGACTTCTATATCTTACATCTGGTTTAAACCAGTTAAGAACTGGTTTAAGCTCTAAAACAATGACAGCATCAATAGATATTTCAAGATCTGATGAAGGCCAAGAGTTACACATTTCATACATAAATACAGACAGTAGTAAGCATCTTTGAGCAAAGGAGGTATGTGGTATTTATTAATTAGATTGATCTCCAGTTTTTTTTTTCTCTTGTTTTGGCAGCCTTCAATTTTGTGCTGAATGTGTAAACTGTCTTCAGGATCTCAGAGTCAGTCAAATCAAACTAACAGGAAAATAGCCTTAAAGCAGTAAAAGGATGAACAGGATTTTGAAGTACTATCCACTGGGGAGGGATTGGGATGTCAGGGCACATGATAGACTAGATGGGGCATGATGGTACAGTGATGATACAGTGCTGGTAGTAGTGATGGTAGAGTGATGCATAACCTGTGCTTCAGCTACATTAATTAGGAAAGTTACAATTGGGACAAGTATTAAACCATGGAGCAGGTAGATTTCATGAGAGAGAATGCCTTCTCTGTGGTGAAATATAAAGGCCACTAATAAATATGTAAGGTGAAATCTACAAACTTTTGTAAACTCATCAAGGTTACCGATACCTAGAGGTTCAATTCATCATTTGGAAGAGACCTATCCGTACCAGAATAGCTTCCTGTTGACTAGAGAGAATAACAGTTCAGTCTTAGTTATGTAGCATTTTCTTTGAGAGGGAGGCTGGTAATTTGGGGAGGAATTGGAATGGTTCGTAGACTGTGACCACAAAATGAATGTGATTTGATGGTTTGGCATGTTCTTGGTTCAGGACTAGTGTGATACCTTCTTAACAGTTTCCCTGCAAACTCTTGCCAATGCTACCAGCAAATTAAAGATCCATAGATTAAATCTAGAAGGTAGTAATAATGTGAAGTTCTTGCAAACTATCTGAGATACTTTGTGAATTTAGTCAAGGTATCAATCAATCAATCCTGAAGTTTGTTTTCTTTTGTCAATAAAGCCTAATGTATTACTGAATTAATTAATGCGGTATTAAATTTAAGAAGACTGCGTCCAATAACTTGAAAGACATTCAGAGAAAATATGTATTGATTAGAACAAAACAAAGAGTTCTGTTTGGTGAATAGTACAATTTATAAGGAACTGATAACAAATGAAAAAGAAATGGCTTTAGACAGCTCAATGTGCATAACTTTATGTGTTCACATTTCGCAAATATTAGAAACCAGTAGATCTATTTAAGAATGTCAGGGAGGAATTAGAATTGCAAAACAGAAAAATAGCTAATGAGTATCAATGCTAAAGAATTTTTCCATGTTAATGAGGACAAGTTAAAACATTAAAAATTGGTTTTGACAGGACAGAAGAATGTGTAAAACATGTGTTAGTATTACCACTTCATAAAATTAAATTAGACATCTCCAGATGTAAAGTAATTCTCTCCCCACCACAGATAAACCCATTTTCTCTAGCCCTTTAAAAGCATGTTTTAATGTGTATCTGAGAAATGAGGAATTTATTGACAGGCTTTTACCTAGAATTTGTAGATGTTGGAAGTGTCCTTTTTTTTCATGAAGTCATAGAGATTGTAGAACATGAAAACCCTTTAGTAAGCAAGATACAATTCTTCCTCCAAACTGAAGATGCTATCATATATGTGAAAAAAGGATCTTGTTTTGAGGGATCAAAAAGTAAAAAGAAAATCACGAAAAATTAGAAATGTGGTTTGTGTTTGTTTTTTTAAAATATAATATTTTTCAGTTCTTATTAACATGATATATGCTTATTTAATAGTTGATCAGAAGAAATAAGTTCCAAGAAATAATCAACAAATAACTATATTTTCTATCATTCTGTCCAATGGTATCTTAGCAAACCGGCTTTATGAAAAACAGACAAACAAAAAAGGTAGTGTTTGCCAATTTCAGTTGTGTAAATATTCCCAGCATGGCAAATTTTAAGCTTCCAGTAGTTTAAAAACCAGCTTACAAAATTCCAAAAAATGTTGCATTTAACTCAGGTGAGCTGGTATATTCAAGCTCATGCAACACTGTCTATATAAACACAGTGACTACTTCATTGAACGTCACTTTAGACACCATGCAATGTTTTCATGCGAATAAAAAGAACGGATAGATTGCTGAATTGATAAGTAGCACTTTGTCTTTCTGTGCCTGACATAGTCCACTTAATATAATGTCCTCCAGGTTCATTCATATCCCAAATGACAGGACTTTTTTTTTTCCTTTTTTAATGCTACATAGTATTCTACTCTGTGTATATACTACATTTTCTTTATTCACTTATCCATTAATGGATGTTTAGCTTGATTCCATATCTTGGCTACCATAAATAATGCTGCAATAAACTTGGAGTGAAGATATCTCTTTGACATGCTGATTTCACTTTCTTTGGATATATAACCAGTAGTAGAATTGCTAGATTATATAATAGTTCTATTTTTAATTTTGTGAGCAACCTCCATACTGTTTTCCATACTGGCTGTACCAAATTATATTCTCACCTACAGTGTGCAAAGATTCTATTTTCCGCCTATACTTGGCAACATTTATCTTTCATCTTTATGATAGTAGTCTTTCTAAAAGGTGTGAGGTGATATCTCTTTGTAGTTTTAATGTTTTCCTGGTGGTAATAGATATTGAGCATTTTTTTTCATATACTTGTTGGTGATTTGTGGTGTCTTCATTTGAGAAATGTCTATTCAGTTCCTTTGCTCATTTTTAAAATCAGATTATCGGCTGGGTGCGGTGGCTCATGCCTGTAATCCCAGCACTTTGGGAGACCAAGGCAGGTGGATCACGAGGTCAGGAGTTTGAGACCAGCCTGGCCAACATGGTGAAACCCCCGTCTCTACTAAAGATACAAAAAATTAGCCAGGCATGGTGGCACATGCCTGTAATCCCAGCTACTCAAGAGACTGAAGCAGGAGAATCACTTCAAGCTGGGAGGCGGAGGTTGCAGTGAGCCAAGATTGCGCCATTGCACTCCAGCCTGGGCAACAGGGCGAGACTCTGTCTCAAAATAAATAAATAAATAAATAAATATAAAATCAGATTATTATTATTAGTAGTAGTAGTACAGAGTTGACTGTCTTCCTTACTTATTTTGTATATTGCTATGATTTGAATGTGTCCCTCAAAGTTTATGTATTGGAAATTTAATTCCAAATGCAACAGTGTTGAGAAGTGGGACCTTTAAGAGGTGATTAGGTCTTGAGGGCTCTGACCTCCTGAATGAATTAATGCCCTCATCTCAGGGTGGGTTAGTTATCACAAGAGTGGGTTCCTGATAAAAGGATGAGTTTGGCTTCCTTCATCTCTTTCTCTCCATCTCTGTCTTGTGAGTGTATATATATATATATATATACACACTCAAGTATATATATATACTCACATATATATAATATATAATATATATTATATATGTATATAATATATATGTATATGTATAAAATATATATTTATTTATATAATATATATGTATATAATATATATGTATATAATATAGAATAAATTTATATAATATATGTATATTATATATATTTATAATATATATAATATATAAAATATATATTTTATATATTATATATATTTATAATATATATAATATATAAAATATATATTTTATTTAATTATATATTATATTTAATTATTTAAATAATTATATTTAAATAATTATATTATATATAATATATATAAATGCCTCTAGCTTTGTTATTTTATTATTTCATTCTTTGTTTTGTCAGTGTTTTATATATATACCCACCAAGTTAGACCTGCTGACCATCTTGAAAGATGAAGTCATGGGACACATGAGATTTAACATAATTTGAGCTATGAAATAAAAGTAATTTTCAGTTATTGAATTGTAAAGATAAAACAGGCCTTCTAAATCACCAAATTTTATGTCGATATCTATATAGCTGCAAAACTAATACTAAAATTTCAGGAACCCTGATGACTACAATTATTCTTATGAATATCATACTTTTCATACCCTTGACTCTTTCAGAACCTTGGGGTACTTCTTGTAAAGGATAGGCTTGGGTAAAGTTTCACATGGCTGTCCATGGTAGCTCCATGAGCAGAGAGACCTCAGAGCCTGAAAAGAGATATGTTAGAGAGTTGTTGGTAGGTTCAGGCAGAGCCACCACATACGTTTAATTTACTTCAAAGCTGTTAGTGTTGTAGTGTTGCTTGTTTTTGTTTCCCCTAAAACTTTGCTCTCACTATAAATATTATTTTTCTTAAATAACTGGTATATTACCCAAAGAACCAAATTAAATTTGTGTAATGAAGAAAAATAGTCACTGACATGAATAATTGAACATCAATTGAACAGTAGAAGATATAGTAGGCAAAACATAGTTTAGGGGAGGTTATTGATTTCAGGCAATTACCCAGAATTATGCAGAGAACTATATAGGGACATGAAATGTGAAAGAAAAGTCAAAACCCATGAAGTTTAGATTTAAAAGACACACAATATACCTAATAGGAGTTCCAGAAATAAAGAAAATAAATGAAAAGTAGGAAGGAGAACAATCTAATGTTCAAAAATAAAATTGCAATTATCAGAAGGAGAAAAAATTTTGTCTTTTTCTTGAAGAACTAATGATTCCACCATAAGATAAGAAATAGCAGTCCTATCTGGGCAGATTATAGAAAATTTTGTGACATCAGAGATGTGTGTCAGAGACAAAAGGGAAAATCTAATTAGCAAGATAGAGAAAGATTACTTAGGTTGAAATTTATAGGGATAGCAGATGTATTATCAACAAAATAGATGCGAATAAGGAGCATCTTCAATGTGGGAATTAATTAGAGTAATTTAAATTTAAAATAAACAGTGAGAATTCTAGTAACCAAGTTTTCAAGTTAAAAAATTATTACGGCCTGGATTTCAGTAGGAAGTTTTTTGAATATAGACTTATGAAATATAGATAAAATGGGATATAGAAGGTAATGCTAAAATAAGAAGTAAGTAAATGTGTTAGTAAGTGTAAGAATGACAATTGCAAAAAAGTTAATGACTAAAGGGGAAATTCAAATAATATAAAATAGTAATACTAGAGAAGAGAATGTGGAAGATACTGGGGGAGTTGATAAGACTCATACATTCTTCTGTAGCAGCATACAGTTCCTAATTTTGTCTCCCAGGCTGGAGTGCGATGACGTGATCTCGGCTCACTGCAATGTCCACCTCCGTGGTTCAAGTGATTCTCCTTTCTCAGCTTCCCGAACAGCTGGGATTACAGGCACACGCCACCATGCCCGGCTAATTTTTTTTGTGTGTATTTTAGTAGAGATGGGGTTTCACCTTGTTGCCCAGGCTGGTCTCAAACTCCTGAGCTCAGGCAATCCACCCGCCTCGGCCTCCCAAAGTGCTAGGATTATAGGTGTGAGCCACCGTGCCCAGCCCCAGGTATGCCTTTTAAAATATAAAATGTATATAAAAATATAACAAGGTGAGGAAGGCCAAACAAGAGAATTTAGAAAACTACATCTAACTAAGAAAAGTTAAGAAAGGTAAAATAAATATACAAATAAATATATTTTAAATTGAACACACCATCTAAAATAGAGTTGTTTCCAAACACAAAATGACTTATTTGATTACATTTACTTGATAAAAGCTATTGACTTTTTACACTGGGTAAGAAATACAAGTAACTCTTTAACAGGCATATCTAAAATACAACCAATTTAACATAAATATTTAATAAGAATACCTAAATCATAAAAAGTAAAGTGAAAAATGCTATGTGGCTCTTCACAGAAAGTTTGCCAAATCTGGCTTTCGATCTTTAGGAGAAAACCATAGACTACCAAGATGACATCAGTTTAGAGAACAGATTTATTTTAAAAGCTTCAGCTTTATAAAATATTTTTAAAAGCATGAAAATTTGACTACATTATCAATAATCAAACTCTTGGCAGAATAATTGTGTAAACAAAAATTAAATATAAGATGAGGGATTTAAAATATGTACAATACACAAAACTGACAAAGGATTAGTAACCAGAAAATATATATATATATATTTCCTATAAATCATCAATAAAAAATAACTCAAAAGGAAACTGTATAACTGATATTAAGAGCCTTCAAAGAAATGGATGACCAATAAATACATCAAGAAGTGTCCAGACTAACTAAAAAGTAGAGAATTGTGTATCAAACTATATTACCATGAAATATTGTTAGATCAATCCAAAACATTAAAAATTTGATATATAAATATTTTGGTAGGAATGATAAATGGAAACTCTCATATTCTTCTGACTCAAATATAAACTACAATTTGAAAAGCCATTAATCAATATACATTTAAATTGAATGTATACCTGCATCTGACCTGTCAATTCCACTTCTACTATAATTAATCTATGAAAACTATGGGGAAATGTGCTTAAAGTCATTTATTGCAGCATTGTTACCAGTAGCAAACTAAAGATATAAAACAAATTTATTATCAAGATTATCAATATAGTAATGGATCTGTACTGTGATATGTTAATGTAGTAGAATTCTGCATAACACTCAAAATTGGTGATCTCATAATCCCCTAGCTATCTATAAACGTAAGTCACAAAAGCAAAATGATGAGGGAAAAAAAGCAAGGTACAGTGGATTTGTGATGCACTATGAGAGAGTTCCAATAATGGGACCCATAATACATGGAAGTTCAGTCAGACTCAAAGGAAATACACGATAAGCATGTTCTATCTACAACTTGGTAAGCAGGTTTGCTGACAGCATTAAAGGAGCACGTTTTCCTTTCAAATTGGAACTTATTCAAACACAAAAAGAAGGTACTGACATTCTAAGATATACGAATTATCAAGGAAATCTGTCATAGCTTCTCTTGAACTTGTGCTAATTTCCTATATTAGCCAACCATTTTAAAAGGGAATGATGACAAAAGAAAATGGAAAGATAGTGCAATCCATATTTCCTTTTTCTTTTAGTCCTTCCTTACTCATCAACAAGCTGAAAGTAGAGAGGATTGGTAGGACATGAGTACATCAAGAAATAAAATAACAATTGAGTCAGTTTGTACACGTTTCAGTATCCAAGCTCAAGAATAATGAATTTTATGTGAAATATAATAATTATGGTAAATCTCCATGTGAGTTAAATGCTTTTATATTTACATTTGAAACTGACATTGCACATAAAAGATGAACTGTGAATTTCAGTAATTTGTTTATATTTTGCATTTTCTTAGAATGCCATTGAACAGTAAATAAAAAACACAAACACACACAAGATAGGTCAATAGAGAGACCTATCTTCTGTGTGTTTAGAAGAAAGAAAAATGTATGATATTTTAGTACTTTTAATGAAATCATTCTTTCTGCTTTTAGAACAAGGAATCTGTTTCATTTGCATTGTTTCCTACCAATTATGTAGATAGCCTTGGTTATCAGTGAATAGAGATCAAACGAGTCAATAACTTAAAAGAGGATCAACAGTAACTTTCAAATTTTTCTCCATGAACTGCCAATGTCCCTCAGTCTGTTCACATACTTCTAAATGTTTTCCCTCAGTTCTTAATTGAAGAATAACAAGCTAGACCATGCCAGGCACTGTTGCATCTTCTTGATTAGATGTAGATTCCAATGAAGTAAGCTTTAGTTTTGCCATACTGCTCTTTAATAAACACCCTTATCATCCATAAAGCATGATAAAAAGTACTTATTTTATTTTAGATTTGAGGATGCATGTGCAAATTGGTCACATGAATATATTGCAAAACGATGAGGTTTGAGCTTTTAGTGCATGCATCACTCAAATAATGAACATTGTACCCAGCAGGTAATTTTTCAACCTTCACTCTCGTTTTACCCTGCTCTTTCTTGGAGTACCCAGCATCTATTATTTCCTTCTTTATATCCATGTGTACCCATTGTTAGCTCCCACTTATAACTGAAAACATTTGGTATTGATTTTCTGTTTCTTAGTTAATTCACTTAGGATAATAGCCTCCAGCTCTATCAGTGTTGCTGCAAAGGACCAGTTTTCATTCTTTTTTATGGCTGCATAGCTTTCCATG
The DNA here is from genome assembly GCF_000001405.40 of Homo sapiens. Taxonomy (NCBI): domain Eukaryota; kingdom Metazoa; phylum Chordata; class Mammalia; order Primates; family Hominidae; genus Homo; species Homo sapiens. The sequence continues at coordinate 83,422,568 of NC_000002.12, read as the reverse complement.
GTGTATATGTACCACATTTTCTTTATGCAATCAACAGTTGATGGACATTTAGATTGATTCCACTTCCAGAAATTCGATGACATTGCTATTGTGGATAGTGCTACGATAAACATATGAGTGCAGGTGTCTTTTAGATAATGATTTTTTTTCCATTGGCTAGATATCCCACAGGGAGATTACTAGGTTGAATGGTAATTCTATTTTTAGTTCTTTGAGAACTAAATGTGAGAAATATCCATATGGTTTCCATAAACGTTGTACTAATATACATTTCCACCAACAGTGTATATGTATTCCCTTTTCTTTACATCCAAGCCAACATTGATTGTTTTTTGACTTTTTAGTAGCCATTTGACTGCTCTGTGATTGTGATTTAAATTTTCATTTGTCTTATAAATAGTGATGTTGAGTAATTTTTCATATGCTTGTGGGTTGCTTGTATATCTTCTTTTGAGAAATATCTGTGTTCTTTGCCCACTTTTTAATGGTGGTGTTGGAATTTTTCTGGTTGAGCAGTTTGAGTTCCTTGTAGATTCTAGAAATTGCTCATTTGTCAGAAGCATAACTTGCAAATATTTCCTCCCATTCTCTAGGTTGTCTGTGTAATTTGTGGATAGTTTTTTTGTTTGTTTGTTTGTTTGTTTGTTTGCTGTGCAGAAGATCATTAATTTATTAAGTCCTATTTGGTTTTGTTGTTTTTGTTTTATTTGCTTTTGTGGGTTTAATAGTACATTCTTTGCCTACCCCAATGTCAAGAAGAGTTTTTCTTAGGTTTTCTTCTAGAATTTTTATAGTTTCAGGTCTCATATTTAATTTTTTAATCCATTTTGAGTGAATTTTTGCATATAGTAAGAGATAGAGATCTAGTTTTATTCTTCTGCATACGGCTATCCAATATTCCTCCCACAATTTATTGAATAAGTTGTCCTTTCCCCATTGTTCATTTTCGCACTGACTTTGTTGAAGATCAATTGGTTGTAGGTCTGTAGCTTTATTTCCGGGTTCTCTATTCTGTTCCATTGATTAACGTGTCTATATTTGTACCAGTACCACACTCTTTGGTTACAATAATCATATAGTATAATTTAAAGTCAAGCAATGTCCTATCTCTGGTTTGTTGTTGTTGTTGTTGTTTGTTTGTTTTTGTTTTTGTTTTGCTTAGCATTGCTTTTGCTTTTTGGGCTCTTTTTTGGTTCCATATAAACTTTAGGATTTTGTTTTCTAGTTATCCGAAAAATGACATTGGTAATTTCATAGGAACTCTATTCACTCTATAGATTGCTTTGGGCATTATGGTCAGTTCAGTAATATTGATTCTTCCAATTCATAAGCATGAAATGTTTTCCATTTGTTTGTGTCACTTATGATGTCATCCATCAGTGTTTTGTTGCTCTTATAAGGATCTTTCACTTCCTTGGTTAAAGGTATTCCTAGGTTTTATTTTTTGTAGCTACTGTAAATGGCATTGAGTTCTTTATTTGATTCTCAACTTGAACATTTTAGAAATACAGTAATACTACTGATTTTCATATGTTAGTTTTGTATCCTGAGACTTTCATGAAGTTGTTTACAAAGTCCAGGTGTCTTTTGAAGGAGTCTTCAGGGTTTTCTAGGTATAAGGTCATGTCATCCCCAAACAGAAAAATTTTGACTTCCTCTTTTTCAATTTAGATGCTTTTGTTTCTCTTGGCCAATTGATCTGGCTAAGACTTCTAGTACTATGTTAAATAAGAGTTGTAAGAGTGGACATCCTTGTCTTGTTTCCATTCTTAGGTTGAATGATGTCAACCTTTTCCTCTTTAGTATCTTGTTGGCTGAGGGTTCATCATATATGGCACTTATTATATTGAGATGTGTTCCTTCAATTTCTAATTTATTGAGGATTTCTATCCTGAAGGAATGTTGGATTTTATCGAATGCATTTTCTGCGTCTATTGAGATGATAATATGGTTTTTGTTTTTAATTCTGTTTATGGGGTGAATCACATTTATTGATTTGTCTATGTTGATTCATCCTTGCATCCCTAGAATAAAACCCACTTGATCATGATAAATTATGTTTTTGATGTGCTGTTGGATTTGGTTTACTAGTATTTTCTTGAGAATATTTGCATCTGTGTTCACCAGGGATATTGACCTATAGTTCTCTTTTTTTGTTGTATCCTTTCCTGATTTTTGTATTAAGGTAATATTGATTTCACAGAAGGAGTTAGGGATAAATCCCTCCCTCCTCCTAGAAATTTTGGAGTAGTTTCAGTAAGATTAGTGCCAGCTCATCTTTGCACATCTGGAAAATGTGGCCATGAATCCATCCAATCCTGGGGTTTTTGCTGTTGTTGGAATATTTTTTATTACTGATTAAATTTCACTACTTGCTATTGGTCTTTTCAGGATTTCTATTTTTTATGGTGCAAACTTTGGAGGTTGAATGTTTCCAGTAATTTATCAATTTCCTCTAGATTTTCTAGTATTAGCATATAGAGGTGTTCATAGTAGCCTGTGATGGTCTTTTGTATTTCTGTGGTATCAGTTGTAATGTCACCTTTTTCATTTCTAATTGGGCTTATTTGAATCTCTCTCTGTTTTGGTTAAGCTAGCTAGGGGACTATCACTGTTATTTTTTCAAATAATCCACTTTTCCATTTATTGATCCTTGGTATTTTTTCTTTCAATCTCATTGAGTTCTGCTCTGATATTTGTTATTTCTTTTCTTCTGCTAGCTTTGGGTTTGCTTTTTTGTTTGCTTTTCTAGTTCCTTGAGGTGCAACATGAGGTTATTAATTTGAGATCTTATCTTTTTGATGTAGGCATTTAATGTTGTAAACTTTCCTCTTAGCACTGCTTTTGCTATATTCCAAAAGTTTTGGTATGTTTTGTCACTATTTTTATTTATTTCAAAATTTTTAAAATTTTTGCCTTAATTTCATTGTTTACCCAAAAGTCACTGAGAAGTAAGTTGTTTAGTTTACATGTACCGCTGTAGTTTTGAGAGTTTCTTATTATTGATTTCTAATTTTATTCAACTGTGGTCTGAGAAAATACTTGGTATAAATTTATTTTTTGAATCATTGAGACTTGCTTTATGGTCAAGCATATCATGAATTTTGGAGAATGTTCCATATACAGATAAGAAAAAGATATATTCTGCAGTTGTTGAGTAAAATTTTCTCCAAATCTCTGTCAGGTCTACTTGGTCTAGAGTCCAGTTTCAGTCCAGAGTATCTTTGTAGATTTTCTGCCTTCATATTTTATCTAGTGTTGTCAGTGGTGTATTGAAGTTTCCCAGTATTATTATATTGCTGTCAATCTGTTTTATCAGGCCTAGTAGTATTTGCTGTGGTACTGGGTGTATATAAATTTAGGATAGTGAAATCTTCATATATTATTGAGCCCTTTATCATTATATAATGTCTATCTTTGTCTTTTTTCATTGTTGTTTGTTGAAACTTTATCACAGATAAGAATAGCTAATTCTGGTTGCTATTGTTTTCCATTTCTATAATCTATCTATCTTTTTCCACCCCATTACTTTGAGTCTGTAGATTTATTTAGCCATTAGGTGGATCTCTTTTAGGCAATTGATGGTTCAAACTTGTTTAGTAAATCCAATTTTCCAGTTGATATGTTTTAAGTGAAACATTTAGGCCATTTACATCTATGGTTGATGTTGATATGTGAGGTTTTGTTCCTGTCATAGTATTGTTAGCTATTTGCCTTGGAGTCTCAGTTGTGTAATTGCTTTATAGCATGTATATGCTTAGTATTTGTGTGTGCTTTTATGATGGCAAGTGTTATCCTTTGATTTTCATGTTTAGAACTCCTTTGAGCATTTCTTGTAGGCCAGTCTAGTGGTGACAAATTCCTTTAGCATTTGCTTGTCTGGGAAAGACTTTGTTTCTCCTACATTTATAAAGCTTAGTTTGGAAGGATACAAAATTCTTGGCTGGCATATTTTCTTCTATAAGAATGCTAAAAATGGGCCCTCAATTTCTTCTGGGTTGTAATATTTTTGCTAAGACTTCTGCCATTAGTCTGACAGTATTTCCTAGTTCCTTTATACATAATTTGACACTTCCCTCTAGCTGCTTTTAAAATTTATTCTTTCATGTTGATCTTTAATAATCTGATAACTATATACCTTGGTGATGTTTACCTTGTAGAGAACCTTTTCATGTTCTATAAACTTATTGCATGTGTATGTCTATATCTCTAGAAAGATCAGGAAAATGTTATTGAATTGTTTCCTCAAATATGTTTCCAATTCCTTACTTTTTAAAAAATCTTTTACAGGAATGCCTATAAGTCATAGATTGGTCATTTCACATAATTTTAAATTTCTTGAAGGCTTTGTTCATTTTCTTTGAATTCTTTTGTTCTTATTTCTGTCTGATTGGATTAATTCAAAAGTCCTATCTTCAAGCTTTGAAATTCTTTCTTCTGCTTGCTCTAGTCTATTTTTAAAGCTTTCAATGTATTTTGACATTTCTTTAGTGAATTTTTTATTTCTAGAAGTTCTGTTTATTTGCTTTCTTTTAAATATATCTATCTCTCCTTTTATATCCTATATTGCCTTTCTAGTCCTTTTGTGTTAGTTATCAAATTTCTCTTGGATTGCATTGAATTTTCTTACAGTCTATACTTTGAACTCTTTATCTGTTAGTTTAGAATTTTTATTTTGGCTAGAGTCCATTGCTACAGAGCCTGTTTGCCCCTTTGGTGGTGTCACAACATTCAGTTTTTTTAATGGTGCCAGAGTTCTTATGTTGGTTTTTTCTCATCTGTTGGATCTAACACTTCTTGGTTTTTTAATTTACTTTCATTTAGATAGAATTTTTCCCTTCATTGAGTGTGTGCCTGTTGAATATGTTGGGCAGGGACTCTTGACTTTTCTGCTATAGCCCTGTGCACTTCTGTTGGCAGTTTTTTATTAGGTTTTGCAGTTCAACCTCCAGGCCAGTAGTTGGTGTCTATGCATAAAACTGCCTGTGGCAAAAGATGATGGGTATGTACTTTATCTTTGTTTACCGTGAGGTTCTCTCTGTTGTTTCAGGTAATGGGCCAGACAATGGAATGCCTGGTACTCTGAGTTTTCTATTTACTGTGGGAGGACAAAGCTAGGCACAACTGTATTACCTGGCTTGTCTACAAATATCCTGATGATGGACATAGGTACTAGCCCTGATGGAAATGGCTGGGGAAGCTACTGATGAAATGCACCAACGTCTCTGTAGGGTGGTGAGGAAGCTGCATCTACTCCATGTTCTACACAAGCAAAAGGAAATGTTTCCCTGTCACACCCCTGTCCTGAGGCTTGTGACACTCAGTTCAGACACACACTATAATCTATCTCCAGGCCACAGTGTAACTGAGAGCCATGTAAACTGCCTGTCCCATGGTTCTTCATGGGAGTGGTTTTGGAGAAGAACCTCTTCACTCAGCCCAATACAGGGAGCTTTGTGGTTCACCCGTTCTCTAGTGTGGAATGCTGATGCTTCAAATAGATGAGAGAGGTGTTCTACCTTTTGGCACATGCACATGGGTATCAGATCACATGGGGAGTGGTCAGTGCCAACAGTGGTGGATGGGACTAGGCAATCCTTTAATTGCCAAATAATCCCCAGGGCCCTCAAGGGCCCAGTAGATAGCATTTATGATTCGTGGAGGGACTGGACCAGGACTGGGTGTGTGGACTTGTTCTTCAGGTGCCGTGATAAAGAATGTCAGGCTGGGTCCCAGGTTACCAGCAAAACTCTTATGTGAGGGCAGGCAGAATGCTCAGAATGCTCAGGTGGCAGCAGAACACTTGGGCAGTGGAAGCACCGTGGAAGATCACAGGATTGCAGGGCCTTGGCTTTCAGAAGGGCTCTAAGCTGTAGCTGAAATGGTTCAGCAGGAGCAGGGTGACTGTTCTGCGGACTTTTACTGGAAAAAGTGAGCCCCCTCACTGGCAGAAGCAGAGGCAGGCAGCTGTAGGGGACATGGCCTGCTCACACATTCCTCTCATAGGGGCAGCAGCAGTGTTCTTCCTTGGGTTGTGCTAAGGTGCCAAGTTTCCCTGCTCCCTCCCTGCCCTGGCAGCAGCAAGAGCTAAAGCAGTGAGAGCAACTTCTTCAGGAGCCAGTGGGCAGATCACCAGCTACTGGGGGTTGGACTCCCAGAACAATGCCAGATCACAGCCAAAGTGCTCAAATAAGGGCAGGGAAGCTACTATTGCAAGCCTGTCACTGTTGAGGGTCGGCACCTCTCAGCTAGAGCAATAGAGAATGGCAGCTTTGGGTGCATGGCCTACTTCCCACCCACAGAAGCAGTGGTGGATTTTGCTGTTGGTGCACACATAGGTGCCAGGTTTCCCTGCTCCCTTCTTGGCCTAGCAGCAACAGAGTTGGTGGAAGCACTGGTGGTGGCAATTGCTATGGGAGACAAAGGTCAGGTCACTGGCCTATAGAGTTTAGGCTCTCAGAAAAGCGCTGGCCACATGTAATCCCAGCACTTTGAGAAGCCAAGGCGGGCGGATCACCTGAGGTCAAGAGTTTGAGACTAGCCAGGTCAACATGGTGAAACCCCATCTCTACTAAAAATACAAAAAAAAAAAAAAAAATTAGCTGGACATGGTGGTGCATGCCTGTAATCCCAGCTACTCGGGAGGCTGAGGCTAGATAATCTCTTGAACCCAAGAGGTGGAGGTTGCATGACCTGAGATCATACCACTGCTCTCCAGCCTGGCTGACAGAGCGAAACTCCATCTAAAAAAAAAAAGAAAAAGAAAGAAAGGAAAAAAAAACACTGGCCACATCCATATTGCTCATGCTTGGGCAGGGCAGATACGCTGTGAACCTGGTGCTGAAGAAGGCAGGCACTGCTTAATGGGGAGCAGCAGAGGCAGGCAGTCATGTGGTGGGCAGTCTGCCCATTCCTCTGTGCCATGGCTGCAGTACCTGTCTTTGGGGCATGTAAAAGTGCCCCAAAGTGTTGGGGCAGTGGCAGTTGGGGTCGGGCTAATCAAGGATCAAAACCCAGTGGGACTCCACATGGGCTCAAGCAGTACCTCTGAACAGTGTACAAGCAGCTCCCTTTGTTAGTCTGGTTTGGAGGGTGTGGGGGTGTGGACCAAGTGGACTCTCAGTAGCTAGGAATGTAAAAGTCCATGGCAGAGGTGTGGAGTCTCGAGTGTTTCTTGCTCACTCACCCCTTTTCTGCATCAGGGAGCCTCTTTGGGCTCCACACAGGTCCCAGCTCAGCAGGCTGCCTGGCTTTAGTCAACTGTACTCTCTGCGAATCCAGTCATTTCTTGATGAATGCCAGTGTGCTCTCTTAGATGCACTTCTCAAAGTGTTAATATTTACTCACTATTTTGATGCTTGTCCATAAGCTGCTTTTAGTCAGTCATCGTGAAGCTGAACCCTTATCTATTATTAATAGTAATTGTGGCAAAATGCCAGGAAATATGTTTAGGCAATTGAACTTTTTAGAGACCTCTTCAATGACCTGTAATTGGTATTTAAGGCTTTCATTATTCACCATCAATTTTTTGCAGAATACAGTCAACCAGTTGTAGAATTCATCTGTTCTTAAGTAGATCCCATGAAAGTGTGTTTTTGAAGTATGATAGTTACAGTCCACAAATTTTCCTTACTTCTATTCTTTCTCATTTAAGAAGTGTTTAAAGCAGTTTTTCAGTTGTATTTTTTGCCCTTAAATGTTTTTCAGCAATTGCAAATAGATCATTTACCTGTTTTCATCTACAACTACCAAGTTCACATGACAATTATGAATGGGTTCAAAAAGGAGAATTGATTTTTTGTTTTCAAAGAGAAAATCTACCCAAGTGCTTCGAATTTGCAATTACACGAAGGAATGTATTAAACCTCTTTTTGGAACTATTGTATGTAATATTGCATACTATTGTATGTAATATAAAATCAAAATTTTTATGTACTTCTAAGTTGATTTATTTACTCACTCTACTGTGTCATCAGAATTCTATTTCTCTTCAATCTAATTTTTGTGGTATCAGATCCTGCTAAGTCTGACTTCTCTCATGCTGAAAAAAAATAGTTTCTGAAGTTCTCAATTTTATACATGAACACCAAATAGTGCAAAAAAGAAATCACAAATAGTGCAAAAAAGAAAGCTTCTGATAGTTCTCTCAGAAGAGTAAAGAACTATTATTTTGAGATGTCCACAGTAATTCTTATCTCAGGCCTAATGACATTAATTAGATTAGGGGACAATTCATAAATGCATCATTTTAATGAATGAGAATTCCATGACAATTTTAAAATCATGAGTTACCTGAACCAGTAACCCAGGTGTGAGAAATAGAATAATTCTGAATGAATTATATAAATAAGAAACTTCCCTAATTCTAAGGCTAAGCCCAATATTCTCATCTCTTTTTCCATAACAATTACATTTTTCACTACATTTAGTCTTCTATAATTATTTTGCTCAAACCTTCAGAAAAAACTGTTAAATACATACAAATTCAAACACATATATGCACCACACACATATATACTATGCAAATAAAACCAATCTAAGAATCATAATACCTATTTAAACCATAGTTGACTACCTAAGGATAAGAGTTGATGAGTGAACTCATTGCTTCAACATTCAAGTTGCTTCACAATTTGACTCCAATTTCATTGCCCACCTGTATTTCCTACTTGTTAAATGTTCAGTGATACGAGAGAGTTTTCACCATTCCCTGAAATGTCATGTCCTTTCATGATTCCATGCTTTTCATGTGCTCTTTCCTCTGCTTTAAAGTCCATTCTGAAATGATTCTACTTCCGGAAGATTTCTATTCATTATTCAAAACTCATAGCATCTGTCTGAACTTACTTGATTCATTTACAAAAAGTAATCACATTTTTCATGTGTTCTTATAGAATTGTGAATGTTTATTATACTTGTAGATTATTTGATCGTATATATTTGCATACATATATGCAAATTATAGTTTAAAAAGTATATTTAAATAAATTTTATACCTATTTATTTAACTATATTTTAACTTTTATATTGACTTATCACCAGACCTCAGCATAGAAACAATCAATATTCAAAATAAATGTCTAGGCTAGAGAAAAAAATAAATACACTTCAAAAGAATGCTTTAATCTCATTAACATTTTAATCACATGAATATTTTCCAAAAGAGCAATATAACTACACAGAAACTCAAAAGCAGAACTTACATAGCAAATACTAGGTCATATTTATGAATTTATATTATTGGTGATTGAGTTAATTTGAAGAATTTACCTGAACTTTAGAAGTGTTGCACATATTTTGCTTCTTAAATTGAAATAATTGGAATATTTTAAGCCCTTATTTAATAATTTAAAATAAAATCTTGAAACTTAATCTGATGTAAATAGGAATATAATTTAGTCCCAGCTACTTGGGAGGCTGAGGCAGGAGAATGGCGTGAACCCGGGAGGCAGAGGTTGCTGTGAGCCACTGTACTCCAGCCTGGGCGACAGAGCAAGACTCTGTCTTAAAAAAAAAGAAAATGGGTGCCAAGATTACATATAAATTTTTCATGTCACTCTAGGGCATCTGGAACCTTTCTAACCAATTCAGTTTCTAGTTTGTAGATAAAAGATGAATTATACCCTGGTGTGAAATGTGAGGACAGAATGGCCACAAATTTCATCTTTGTGTCAAATTTGTGCTTTTCACCAAATATTTGAATTGTTGTGTAGGCTAGATGACATACCACTTCACTTATTATGAATATTTATTCATCCTTCAAGCAGAACACACAACTTACTGAATAGATGCCTTGCCCAAATTACAGGCATTCTCAGAAATGGCTAGAGAAGGATAAATTTGAAAGCAGATAAATTATGACACATATTTTATAAGAAAATAATTATGCAAATTCTAAAACTTCTAAAATTGTTAGTATTCTGTTTCATCTTCATGTGGAGAACACATGGTCAGAGAAGCCATCCCTCTCTGAACATCCTTATTAATTCCACTGAGTTGCTATAGGAACAGGTAAGTTTTGTGTTCATGGATCACCTCTAGGAGCTCTCCAATGCATTATGCATTCTGCATATTAGACACTACGTAACTGACTTGTAAATCCTGCCAAACTTCCAAACCTCTCTTCTGATTTATAGTGTAGATCTTCATAATTAATCTCCAAGCATATCAGCAAATCAGCTCCACAACCCTCCAGGTAGCTTTATTTGAAAAGTCTGTTAACTTCTTCTCATTGCCAAGCCAGTTTTTATTCTTTCTTCTTATCCTATTCAGTTACAAAATTTAGCTAGTTATAACCTTGGCACTTGATCATGTTATCCAATGCCCATCCAGTCCAGGCACATGGAGATAATAAATGTTTCAAATTTATGATGACTTATCCAAAGAACAAATTTCCCTGCCCTATAATGTATAACTTGCCCATCTGCCCCAATGCTCGTTACAGAGCTCGTTGTTTTGATTGTTTCTCCCTTATGAACTTTACTTTCTCTAATTAGATTTTGGCTCTGAATACCACTGTGATATGTCCCCTAGCCTCCTTCATGGCTAGACTCTTATAAATGCTATTCATGTGTCCTCCTGTTTTATAAACTAATCATGGGCACTGAAAACTAATTTCACACTCATTTCCCTATGCCAGGCCTATAATTTTTGACTCCTAAAGTGGACCCTATATCCTAATAAGCTTAATGTGACCTTCATAACACCTAGATTCTTAGTACCACAATCCTCAGACTGATCCAACTCTTCATTGCTTACCCAAACTCACTTCACATAAGTATGTATTTAATAAATCTACCTAAGTGGCTTTGAAGAGGTTCAGTCAATATATTTAGAGCAATTAAAAGAGTTACAATTAAAAGAGTGATCTTGGTTTACCATTATCTTAAAAAAATGTGACATTACAACTTCATTAAATAAAAAACCCAAGATACATTATTAATTCAAATTCCTCAAGTTAATGTATCTGATTATTCATGTCCCTATAAATCATCTGAATTTTCATATCACTTATTGATTCTACCATACTTTTGAAGGTGGTATATATGTTATATGAGTTACATAATGTCATATATGTACATGTGCTTTGTGCAAGAAGCCACAGACTAGTTTTATACTTATGACTCCGATACTTATTTATAACTTCTCATATACCACTGAAACACAGAATGTATTCAGTAGATGTATATTGAATGCACACCAGTACTTTTAAGAATCAATGTAAAGAAACTAGCAAAATAAATTATATTTATTAGCAATATTGTGTGAAATACTGGGACAATTAATGAGGTATTCTGCAGTCCACAGATACTAGTTTCAGAAAGAGCATTGCATATAAGGAAGGCAAATCTGTATTTAAAGAAAATGTCTATTCTAGTAAGAACAAAATGTTGCCCTTCCAAAATGGAGACTGTCTAGTATAATCAGCCTGCCACCAGGTAGCTGATTGATCAATCAGAGAATATTAGGGATTTTAACTACCATCCTACCTCATGAGTCAAGACAGGTACATGTGATATTTTCTGCAGATGATATGAAATCTTAAGTACATTAGATCCACAGAATATGTGCCTTTGATCACTGTCAAACAAACTTCAAACTGTTTTTGGATGAATCAGCCATAGAAAGCTGGTGCTGTGAGGACTATTTTTTATGAAATTTAAAAAATTACTAACACTGAATTTCACTACCTACAGGAGGCAGTTAAGAATACCTAAAACACTTGGATAATACAATACACAAGTAATGACTTGGTCTTGTAGAAAGTCACCTTAAAATTCTAAGAAATAGAAGTGAGGTGAAGCAACATGTCCAAATAGAAGCCTCCACTAATCATCCTCCTCACAGGAACACCACATTGAACTATCCATACAATGATACACATTGATAAGTAGCAAAAATTAGCTTAGGCACCAGCTCAGCTATGGTGGGGTTAGAGTACAAAGCAGGCTTCTGGGGTCCCCAGTTCCAGGCCTTGGCATTTCTGCACCTGCCCTGAGCCAGAGAGGAGGCCACTTCCCTGAAAGGAGGGTCCTAGGCCTGGAAGCATTCACCTCAAGCTGATTAAGGAGCCCCTGGGCCTTAAATGAACATTGGCAATAGCCAGGCAGTATTCACAGTGGGCCTTGGACAGTGGTGGCCCTAAATAGAGACTCTTCTACTTGTGGAAATGGGAGGAAAGAATGAAAAGGACTTTGCCTTGTGGCTTCAGTGACAGCTCAGCTACGATAAAATAGAGCAGTAAGGTTTTTGACTCCAGGCCCTGGCTCTTAGACAGCACCAGTGGACCTGCCCAGGACCTGGAGGAACTCATCAGCCTAAATGGAAGAATACAAGCCTTTCTGGCTTCACTGCCTGCTGACTGTAGAGTCCTAGGGCCTTGAGAGAATATAGGTGGTAGCCAGACAGTGGTTACTGTGGACCTTGAGCAGGACCCAGTGCTGTAATAGCTTCAGGTCTAACCCTCTGCCATCTCAATGATGGTGGCCACAGGGGTGTTTACATCAATCCTCCCCCAGCTACAGGTAGAATGTATATAGATTATATCCCACCCACAAAATGTGCCTCTAATATGAGGAACAGAGTCCACACTTCTCAGTCTGTTAGGCATAATATGTTACTCTATCTATTCACCCATACCTTCATGCATTTATTCAGCCAATATTAACCGAGTATTACTATATGCCAGTCAAAAGTCTACGCACTTTGAATAAAGAATTGAAGCAGAAACATACAGTTGCTGCTTTCAAAAGTGTCTATTCTACTATGAGAAATAAAAAATAAAGAAAAAAGATATAAATTCACGGTATAATTTCATGTCCTGTTAAGTACTACATACAAAAATAAAACAGGTCTAATAAATGGAAAAGGAGGGGAAGAAACAGCCTGCATTATGGATTTCATTTAAGAGAGCAATTTTTCAGGAATTTTATCATTTTTTGGCATGCGTTTTAATACCCAAATGACTAATTCACACCTTGTCTAGGTGACATTTGTTTTAGCCAAATAAAATAACCACAAAGGTCTTAAGATGGCAGTACAATTGGCATGTATTGGGAATATTTTAAAAGCCAGCGTGAAACAGGTCAGTTTGAACAAGCAGATGATAAGATATAAATTTCAAGTGGTAGTCAAGGGCCAATTATTACAGAATGTTCAGAAAGTCTTTTATTTATATCCCCAATGTGATGGCAAACCAGTGGTGAGTTAAGAAATAGGAGAATGACATGATATCACTTCATTTTAGTATAATCATTGAGTCTGTCATGTGGTACACAGATAAATGGGAACAGATTGGAAGTAGTTATTCTATTTAGGAAATTATTTTAGTAGTGTTGGCCAGAAATGATACTAGTCTGGACTATGATGGTGGCCACAGATGAATAAAATATCAGATTAAGAATATATTTCAAGGAGTTGTCAAAAGCATTTTCTGAAAAAGTAAAGATGGAGTGTATAAAAACTGAGACAATATAAGGATCACTCATAAGGCTTCTGTCCTGACCACTGGGGTGAATGAGGGTACCATTTACTGTAAAGCAGAGTACAGAAAAGGGAGGAAGCTAGAGAGGTTAAATCAAGATGTACTGGGAGCATGCCAACTGCGATTATTTTTTTTTAATAGAAATTCAGGTAAAGCTTTGAACAGGCTGTTTGACTCATGCATCTGGAGCTCAGCACAAAGATATGGAATGAAGCATAGATATAGAAGTATATATGATATATAAAGTATCTATCATTAATGGATTTCAATGGGACCACCTGGAGAATAAATAAAGATAAGATAAAAATTTTAAAACTGAGTCCTTAAGAATAACAGCATTTATAGAAGGAAGTAAAGAAATATCCAAGACTAAGAAGAGGTAGCTAGTGATGTATTCAGCTTTATGTTGTGTAGTACTTTCCCAACCACAGTGCACAAAAAAGGAGCCCATGCATTCAACACTAAACTATGCTTTCATAAGTTTAAACTTAACAAAACCGAGCAAGGTACAAATATGGGAGATTTGTAAACTTAAGAATTATCATATCTGTTACAATGTTGGAAAACAATTAAGTTCTGACCAGACAGAGAGACAATCATTATTGAAAACTAAATATTTGGTAAAGACCCAGTAAAGTTCTCAGGACTTAGGTAGAGCTAAACTAACACTAGATTAAAGTGTTATTTTAGATGATTCTAGACCTACTATAACAAAACTTGATACAAGTCTTGAAATTAATATGTTGATCCACAGCTAAATTTAGTTCCCAACAAAACAACCTCACTTTTTAATAAAAGGAAAAATTCAAATACTGAACAATGTAATATTTATAATATCAAGTATTGAATCAAAAATTGCTAGATATGCCAAAACACAGAAATGTCAGTCAATTGAAACAGAAACAGAAATGAAAAAGATAATAAAATCAGTAGTCATGGACATTAAAACAGCTTTTTAATATATGCTCAATGGTTTAAAAAACTTGAAAAAAATCAATAAAAAGGAAGATATAAAAAACAAAAGGAAACTTCCAGACATGAAAAATACAATATCTGAAAATTTAAAAAATCCGCTAAATGGACAAACAGCAGATTAGATAGAGCCAAAAAATTAATAATAAATTTTGAAGCTGGGCAATACAGTTATCCAAACTGAAACAAATAGAGAGGAAAAAGCCTGAAAAATTGACAACACCTCACTGCTCTATGAAACAATGTCAAGTGGCCTAACATAAATATAAGTGGAGCCCCAGAAGAAAAAGACAGGATACAAGCATAAAAGTAAATTTACAAGCAAGGGCTGAAAAATGTCTTTATTTGTTGAAAAATATAAAACAATAAATCCATAAACTCAATAAAATCAAACACAATGTGAATTAGGGTTCTCTAGAGGGACAGAACTGATAGGATACACACACACACACACACACACACACACACACACACACACACACAGGAGTTTATTAAGTAATAACTTACATGGTCACAAGGTCCCACAATAGACTGTCTGCAAGCTTGAGGAGCAAGGAGAGCAAGTCTGAGTCTCAAAACTGAAGAACTTGGAGTCCAATGTTCAAGGACAGAAAGCATCCAGCATGGGAGAAATGTGTAGGTTGGGAGACTTGGTCGGTCTTGCCTTTATACGTTTTTTTCTGCCTGCTTTATATTCGCTGGAGGCTGATTAGATGGTGCCCACCAGATTGAGTGCATCTGCTTTCCCCAGCCCACTGACTCAAATGTTAATCTCCTTTGCCATCACCCTCACAGGCACACCCAGAATACTTTGTATCCTTCGATCCAATCAAGTTGACGTTCAGTATTAACCATCACACAATGCAAAGAGAACTATATCAAGGCATGGTATAATCAAATATCTAAAAAGCAGTTATAAAGTGAACAACTTAAAAGCAGTAAGGCAGGAAATACACATTACATAAAGAGAAACACAATTTTAAAATTTCCCTTACTGTCGGAAACAATGAGTCAGGAGATAATAGAATAACATCTTTAAAGTACTGAATTTTACAAAAACTGTCAACCATGAATTTCATATCAAATGAAAATATCTTTAAAAATGAAGGTGAAAAAAATTATTTTCAGAAAACAAAAACTTTGAGAACTTACTACAAACAAACTTGAACTGAAAGAAATATTCTAAAAAATTGTTCTCACTTTAGGAAAATAATGGCAGATGGAAACTTGAATCTAAATAAAGAAATGAAGAGTGGCAGAAGTGGTAAATATATGCATATACATAAACTATTTTTCTCAATTTTTAATTTCTTTAGGAATTATTGTCTCATAAGTCAAAATGCTCAGGATAAATTGTGAAGTTTAAAACATAGAAGTAAAATATGTGACAATATACATTGTTTTAAGATTCTTATATTATTTTAAGTTATTTTGATAAATGTCAGGTTGAAAAATAAAAGAATGCCATCTATTGAATTACTTGCAATGAGGTTAGGAGGGAATCTCACCTAAGAATACATCATCATCATAGTAACTGCTTTTGTTTTGTTAAAAAGAATGAAAGCTAATATGAAAATTTACTTTCCTTAGTACCACTGAATATAAAATACTACTATGTATAGATCTCTATACAAATACACATGGAAAATTGTAATCAATTTAGAATTAACATTATTAAAATTTGATAGTAATTTATTTTTGTTTTGTGGATGAAATAAAAATAAGGAAGAACCTGCCTTCTCATTAGTTATTGTATTTTAATTATCAATTATACCAATTATATTTACTTTAAAATTATTTTAATCAATATAGTCTAGTAGTGACTATACGTATATGAACAGTTAAATCACTTTACTTTCTGAGTTAGTCAACTAGTGGTTAGGATTATAATGAAGTATCTGGCCTTATGTGTGAGCCATTTTCCATTACCCACCATTTTTTTTCATTTCAACTAAGCTAATTTTACAAGATGTGTGATTTACCTATGAACCTTACAAAAATAAATTCTCTATCTGCAGAATGGGATTAATTATGCCTATGAGGATAAATGGGAAATAACTTACATTCAAATGTTTTGTACAATGCAAAAAAGTATAAGTTTATTATTCAACATCTCTACACTAAACTAGAATTTTCTATACAATTTGGGAATTTAGTCTTCACCAGAATACTGTATAACCACCTGACTTTTGCAATAACAAAATTATTTCTGCGTAGTGATACTTCAGAGAGTTAGATTGTCTTTGCCATTCCTGAAGTTAATACTATAATGCAAAAGTTACATAATTTGTACTCATCACTACTATAAAAATTATGATTAAGAAGTAGAATGTTAATTTAAGACATCATTTTTCATGTAAATGTGTTGCCCACATTGATCTGATACCTTTGTGCTTCTTGTATTTAAGCCCATTGTTTCTAAAATCACTTTATTGATACTATTGGCTCTTTTCAGAGTTCTCTAAAAAATTACGTTTATTCTTATGTCTAGTGTCCTTGATGTTCTCTATTTTATTCTCAGTCTCAAGGAGAAACAAATGTGAAATTAAACTTCAGGGTAGGGTATACTTTTCATAATATATGACTGGGACATTCAATACTGCCAGTTTCAACCCAGATGTCCTTCTGGGACTATTTTACTTAAATCCTTTGAAGAATGGTGGCTTAGGTTGTCTTAGCTTTCAACAATGGTATACGTGGAGAAAGTCATTGAAGAGCTTGTCATTTTTATTGACAGAACCAATTCCATCCATTAAAGAGCTTTAGTCCTACCATAGAAACCTGCAACCAATCTACACAGCTTATTAAATATTAATTTTCTTCTTGCTAAACTCTCAAAGACACATGTAAAACATAACTCCCATTTTCTTTAGATTTGCTTAAAAGCAAAGAGATATTCATTAGCAATTATCTTTCTAAATTTGAAATTTATGTATGGTTTTCACTGAATAAATTGTTTTTATTTCTTCTCTTTCTTTATGCAAATGCTGCTTAAGACATGCCATCATAAAAGCTGGATCTGTTGATGGCATTCTTACTAGTTTGGTTTTCAGACTTTTTGATAAGAATGGGTGCGGCTGGGCGTGGTGGCTCACACCTGTAATCCCAGCACTTTGGGAGGCCGAGGCAGGTGAATCACGAGGTCAGGAGATCGAGACCATCCTGGCTAACACGGTGAAACCCTGTCTCTACTAAAAATACAAAAATTAGCCGGGCATGGTGGCGGGCACCTGTAGTCCTAGCTGCTAGGGAGGCTGAGGCAAGAGAATTGCTTGAACCCGGGAGGCGGAGCTTGCAGTGAGCCGAGATCATGTCACTGCACTCCAGCCTGGGCGACAGAGCGAGACTCGTCTCAAAAAAAAAAAAAAAAAAAAAAAAAAAAATCACCCAGAGGCTTTACATCCTCTTCTGGGGAAGGAGTTACTGTACTTTTTGCTTTGCACAGAATAGTTGTATCATGTTAAGTGGAAATATAATCTTGTTATTTTCTTTATTTGGAGATAAAGTACAGTTTATGGATATGTGTATGGCTGTCAAGTTGACAAGGGGTAGACTCATCATAGTTATTTGTATGTTTCAACTTGGCTGGGCCACTGTCCTCAGATGTGTGGTCAAACATATTTGGGATGTTTCTAAAACTGCTTTTCGATATTAACATTTAAATTGGACTTTGAGTAATGTAGATTGCCCTTCATAATGTGGGTGGGCCTCAACCAATAAGTCGAAGGCCTGAATAGAACAAAGACTGGCCTCCCATCCTTCCACGAAGAGGTTATTCTGCCAGCAGACTGTCTTTGGACTTGAACTGTAGCATCATCTCTTCCTGGGTCACCTTACAAATTTTGTACTTGCCAGCTTCCATAATAGTGAGAAACAGTTCCTTAAAACTCTTCCTGTAAATATGCACATTATATTTCTTCTATTTCTCTGGAGTACTCTGACAATATAGGTGGGCACTTATATGAGAAATAGATGTGCTGAGTAGAAGAAAAAATGTTAGAATGATTTGAAATCATGTAAAATTTGGGAAAGTGTACCTCAATTTATCACAGAACAGTTTATTTTTTTAATTTTTTATTTCTATAGGTTTTTGAGGAACGAGTGGTATTTGGTTACATGAGTAAATTCTTTAGTGGTGTTTTGTGAGATTTTGGTGCACCCATCACCCAAGCAGTATACACACCAAACTCAATTTGTAGCCTTTTATTTCTCACCCCCTTCCCAACCTTTCCCCTCGAGTGCCCAAAATCCACTCTATCATTCTTATGCCTTTGCATCCTCATAGCTTAGCTCCCACTTATGAGTGAGGACATACAATGTTTGGTTTTCCACTCCTGTGTTACTTTACTTAAAATAATAGTCTTGAATCCCATCCAGGTTGCTGTAAATGCCATTAATTCATTCCTTTGTAAGGCTGAGTAGTATTCCATTGTATTTATATACCAGTTTCTTTAATCACTCTTTGATTGATGGGCAGTTTGGCTGGTTCCATATTTTAGCAATTGGGAATTGTGCTGCCGTAAGCATGCATGTGCAAATATCTTTTTCTTATAATTAATGACTTCTTTTCTTTTAGGTAGATATCCAGGAGTGGGATTGCTGGATCAAATGGTAGAGTTCTACTTTTATTTCTTTAAGGAATCTCCAAGCTGTTTCCCATAGCGATTGTACTAGTTTACATTCCCACCAACAGTGTAGAAATGTAGAAATGTTCCCTTTTCACTGCATCCATGCCAGCATTTCTTTTTATTTCTATTTTTTTTGGTTGTAGCCACTCTTGTGGGTTTAAGGTGGCGTCACATTGTAGTTTTGATTTGCATTTCCCTGATCATTAGTGATGTTGAGCATTTTTTCATGTTTGTAGGCCATTTGTATAACTTATTTTGAGAATTGTCTATTCATGTCCTTAGCCACTTTTTGATTCAATTGTTTGTTTATTTCTTGCTAATTTGTTTGAGTTCCTTATAGATTCTGGATATTAGTCTTTTGTCTGATGCATAGATTGTGAAGCTTTTCTCTCACTCTGTTGGTTGTCTGTTTGCTCTGCTGACTGTTCCTTTTGCTGTGCACAAGCTCTTTAATTTAATTAAGTTCCACCCATTTATCTTTGTTTTTGTTTCATTTGCTTTGGGATTCTTGGTCATGAAGTCTTTACCTAAGGCAATGTCTAGAAGGGTTTTTCTTATGTTATCTTCTAGAATTTTTATAGTTTCAGGTCTTGGACTTAAGTACTTGATCCATCTTGAGTTGATTTTTGCATAAGGTAAGAGATGAGGATCCAGTTTCATTCTCTTACATGTGGCTAGCCAATTATCCCAGGACCACTTGTTGAATAGAGTGTCCTTTCCCCACTTTATGTTTTTATTGCTTTGTCAAAGATCAGTTGGATGTAAGTATTTGGGTTTATTTCTGGGTTATCTATTCTGTTCCATTGGTCTATGTGCCTGTACTTATACTAGTACCATGCTGTTTTGGTGACTATGGCCTTATAGTATAGTTTGAAATCAGGTAATGTGATGCCTCCAGATTTGTTCTTTTTGCTTAGTCTTGCTTTGGCTCTGTGGGCTCTTTTTTGGTTCCATATGAATTTTAGGATTGTTTTCTCTAGTTCTGTGAAGAATGATGGTAGTATTTTTATGGGAATTGCATTGATTTTGTAGATTGCTTTTGGCAATATGGTCATTTTCACAATATTGATTCTACCAATACGTGAGCATGGGATGTGTTTCCATTTGTTTGTGTTGTCTATGATTTCTTTCAGCAGTATTTTGTAGTTTCCCTTGTAGAGGTCTTTCACATCCATGGTTAGGTATATGCCTAAGTGTATTATTTATTTATTTATTTATTTATTTTTATCTTTGCAGCTATTGTAAAAGGGGTTTTTTATTTAATTCTCAGCTTGGTTGCCATTGGTGTATAACAGAGCTACTGATTTGTGTACATTAATTTTGTATCCTGAAAATTTTCAGAATTCATTTATCAGTTCTAGGAGCTTTATGGAGTAGTCTTTAGGGCTTTCTAGATATATAATCATATCATCAGCAAACAGCCACACTTTGACTTCCTCTCTACTGAACTGGATGCCTTTTTCTTTCTTTCTCTTTTCTGATTGCTCTGGCTAGGACTTCCAGTACTATGTTGAATAAAAGTGGTGAGAGTGGGAATTCTTGTCTTGTTTCAGTTCTTAGAGGGAATGCTTTCAACTTTTCCCTGTTCAGTATTATGTTGGCTGTGGGTTTATAATAGATGGCTTTTATTACATTGAGATATGTCCCTTGTATGCCAATTTTGCTAAGGGTTTTAATCATAAATGGATGCTGGATTTTGTCAAATGCTTTTTCTGTGTCTGTTTAGGTGATCCTGTGATTTTTGTTTTTAATTCTGTTTATAATACTAACAGTTTTGAAATTATTTAAATAGCCAAGACTAGAAATTTATTTTAATAAATTATGATGTGTTCACATAGTTTAAGCTAAGGAACAACTAAATATTTTAGAGTTAAAATAATATTGATCTTCGATGAATTGACAAGTGGGTAATTTTGGGTGATTTAAATTTTTGAATTCACCTTTTATTGCATTTGTCTTTTTTGTGATTATATATCACTGATTTAAATAACTTTCCTTAAATTAAAACACAAAACATTCCTGTAAAGTAACTATATGTTGGTTTCAAATTCTTATAATTAGTTGCAATTTTATTTGTTCCTGACACATGGCTATAAACCTTATGCCTTTTATCTTACTGTTTTTCCTTCTTGTATTCCCACCAGTAAAAGAAAGCAGCCAGAGGCGAGAAAGTCAATTTTAATTGCCTGTGAAATTTTGAAATATCAAAGAAAGTTGTCACCTGGGATATTTTTAAGTACACTTTTCATTTTAATGCATGAACAATCTGTTTTCATCAGGGATATTTTTAAGTACACTTTTCATTTTAATGCATGCACAGTCTGTTTTCATCAAGATCATATTTTTACCCAAGAGATCTCATAAAATTATATTGTTAATTGTCACACATAATGACTATATTTAATTTTGACATAAAGTGTTTATGAGTAAAAGACATCAGTGTAATTCAATGTAAGACAAAAGTCATGTATGCAAAAATTCATGTTAACCACCTTTAAAACGGAATTACAAAAATACGTATAGACACAAGTCAGGGGAATGAATGACAGGTTTATTGCTTGCTTTGATACTTGTTACTTGTGGCAATATTCATTCCTTCAATACTTATTGTCCAATATATTTGAATAGAACTACTGAGAAATGTATACTGAACATTAGAAAAACATAAT
This sequence comes from Homo sapiens, assembly GCF_000001405.40. Classification (NCBI taxonomy): domain Eukaryota; kingdom Metazoa; phylum Chordata; class Mammalia; order Primates; family Hominidae; genus Homo; species Homo sapiens. Next base: position 83,400,816 of record NC_000002.12, on the reverse strand, counting down.
TGTTTTTCTAATATTTTATTGAGGTAAATATACATATATAATTTGCCATCTTTATCATTTTCAAGTGTACAGTTCACTGGTAATAAGTACACTTATATTCTTTTTTTCTCCTTTATTTCCCTACTCCCTCATCCTCTTCTTAGCCTCTGTTAACCACCAATCTATGCTGTATCATCATGAGATCCACTTTTTTGTATCTTGGCTTATTTCACTTAATATAATGGCCTCCAGTTCCATCCATGTTGCTGAACACGACAGAAAAGAATGTAATATACATACATAATGGAATATTATTCAACCAAAAAGAAGGTAAAATCTACCCATTTAGAAGCTACATTTGTATATGATGATTAGGCTTATCTAAACCCCTTAGGTTAACAGGTAGGCTGTGCTCCTCTCTACCCCTGACATATTTTCAACAATGCTCCAGTTTTTCTACCTTCTTAAGGTAGAATATTAAATAATTGAATTTAAGTCTTTCTCCTTTTTTAAAATATATAAAGCTATGAATTCTGCAAACTTTATAGATTATTTTCTATTATCATTCAGTTCAAAGTATTTTCTAATTTCTCTTATACTTTTTTAATTTAATGTGTTGATTACTTGAAAGTGTTTTGTTTAATTTCAAAATATCTAGGCTTTCCAAAAATATTTGATTATTAATTTTACTATAGTACAAATAATCTATAATCCCATTTTTCAAAAATTTTTTATGACTCGTTTTATCTAGTATATACCCTATTTTGTAAACATACAATACACACTTGTAGAGCAGGTTTATGTTCCAAATATTAGATGTATTCTTCTCTAGATCATCAATTATTTCAAGGCAATTAAAATAGATTTTCTGACTTTCTATGCCTCTAATGAATTTTTGTCTTATCATTATGTAAATTGTTGATATAAGACCATTAAAATCACCTTGCTATCAACTGAATTGTTTCCCTCCCCAAAGTCATATATTGAAGCCTTAACTCACAATGTGACTGTATCTAGAGATAGGGTATTTAGGAGGTAATTTAGGTTAGACAAGGTTATAAGGGTTGGGTCCTAATCTGATAGGACTCTGGTCTTATTAGAAGAGTTGCACGCACACACATACACACACACACACACAGAGGAGAGAAGGAGAGAGAGAGAGAGAGCGAGAGAGAGAGAGAGAGAGAGAGAGAGAGAGACAGAGATTACACTCTACTATGTAGGGACACAGAGAGAAGACAACATCTGCGAGGAGGAGGAGAGACTTCACTAGAACTTGGCCATACTGACATTCTGATAGTGGACTTCCAGACTCCAAAACTATGAGAAAATAAAAACTTCAGTTGTTTTAGGACACCTGGTCTATGGTATTTTGTTATGGCAACCTGTGCTGACAATCACATTCCTGTTATAACTGCAGAACCATCTATTTTACCTTTAAAGGTTTCCATTTTTGCTTATGCATTTCGAAGTTCTGTTATTCAAAACATATATAGACATGATTGTTATATATTTGTAATAAATTTAAACTTATTAGGAATTGTTCCTTTTTTCCTCTGGTAGTACTCTTGTCCTAAAGTTAGTATTTCATATATTTAATTTATTTAACTATTTAGTATAATATAGTTGATATATAATATTACTTTTGCCACTCAGTCTTTTTATGCTTACTATTTGCCCGAAATATCTTTTTCCATACATTTAGATTAAAACTATATATTTATATTTCAGTGAATCTTGCTTTATTTTCCATTAACATCTATTCTATTTTTAATTGTAATATCTAGACATTATTAAATATATTTATTGACATATTTGGATTTAAGTTCACCACATATTACTATTCATTTCCTCTATTTTTCAGTTCTTTCTCTTTTCCTCATTTTGTTTTGATTATTAGATTTTGGGTCATTACGGTTTTAGATGTTTAGAATTCTACCTTAATTTATTTATTGGCTTTTTAACTATACCATTTTGTGTTTTCTCTAGAGATTAAAATATATCTCTAAATTTTGCAGTTTTTTAGAGTTAATATTGCACAAATTCACTTAAAATGTAGAAGTCTTGCAATAGTATAGATCCTTTAACTTACATAATTTATGTTATAATTGCCATATGTATTAAGCCTTCATGTATTAAAAACTTACAGCATGGTCTTATCATTTTTTATTTAAACAGTGTTATATATTTAAAATAAAGTAACAAAAAATATTCATTTATTTTACCCTCATATGTATCATTACTGATGCTTTCAAAATATATTCTTTTAATTTCAATTTGAAGGAATTCCTTTAACATTTCTTGTTGGATAGTTCTTGCAGAAAATGCTCTTAGTTTTCTTTCATTTTGAGATTATGTAATAATGTGTTTATTTTTCAAACACATTTTATTTCCTGGATGGAGGATTCAGCCTTCACATCTTATGCCTTTTTTTTTCTGGTTGGTGATTAATATTTCTCTAAATCTTTCTGTATTGCTTTTGTTTTTATTTTCTTAGTGTTAATAAATATATTGTTAGCATTATCAATAATGCTGATAGTAGTTACAAAATTATTCTTCATGAAGTTTACTGAGCTTCTTGAGCCTGTATATTTATGTCTCTGAGAATTTTGAAGATAGTTAAAGCTTTTTTCAAACATTTTCTTTTCTATCCCATTCTCTCTTATTTCTCTGGATTAAAAGTTATATGTTTGTTAAATCTTTTCATATTTTCTCATATGTCCCTGAGATTTGGGTCTTTTTTTAATTTTTAAAATCTGTTTTTCACATCAGATAATTATTATTGCACATCTTTAAAGATGCATGCTTTCCTATATCATATCCATTCTCAATTAAGCCTACACAACAGTTATTTTTAAAGATTTTAATTTTGTGAATTCCAAAAATGTTTTTAAACTTATTAATCTTCCTGCTGTGTTTTTCCGTCTTTTTATTTATTATGAACCCACTCTTCCCTACTTTATGAGTATGGTTATAAGAGCCTTTTTAAATTCCTCATCTTCTGATACCTATGTCTGAGTCAGCTCAGAGTCAATCTCTATTATTATCTTATGGCTAGGTCACATTTTTCCATTTCTTCTTATAAGAAGATTATTATATTATATTCTTGACATTGTAAATTTTATTTGTGAAAAATTCAGATTTTATTGTATTCTCCTAAAGAATATTGATTAGTTTATTTGAACAGGTAATTTAATTTGTTTTATCAATGTACACATTCTGTTTTGAACATCTTTATTGAACATCTGCTTTGAATATCTTTATTAACACTAAGCAATGTACATTTTTAATCTTAAAATTGTAATCACATATTCACACTCTATTTTTCCCAGAAATTTGCATCTCTAATGTTCTTAAAATGTGTGTTATTTTTAAAAATTGCCCATTTAGGTTTTCTGTTTTTGTTTTTATTTTTCTTTAGAACAGTACATGCATATGTGTTCGTGTGTGTGTACATATAAAAAGATTTCAATGAAAAACAATTAGTCTGAGACTTACCATCTTAGCATGCTATCATTGCACATTATATAATAAATAATGACTAAAGTAATGCAAATATTTAACTGTTTAAATATAAATGATAATACAAATTAAAATTTTATTGGACATTTATCTTTTAATGAAATAGATGTTTTTCAAAATTAATTTACATATCCACGGACACGTATTTATGATATAGGGTTACCATCCATTTTTGGATGTTACTCTGCTTTTTATTTTTATAGAGCTGAGTATTAAGAAAACTTTTCATAAGTTAAAATGAAGGGAGTTTTAATATAGAAGTATCACTCAACTTTTTATACTTCTGATTCACCTGTCAAAATTTACGTACTGACCTATTTCTAAAATGTATTTTCATAGAGAAGTCATTATTAAATCTTGCTATACAATGTTATAAAATAATTGGTCTTGGAGTTAGTGTATAACTTTGTTTACATGTAAATAAGCTAGAAACTACTCAGCGTTTAATAGGAAAATAAGATTAGAATTTACTGACACTTGAATATTTTCTAATGTAATTATTTGAAGTAGCTTATTGAATATTCTTTTGAATAACACAAACTGAATATAAGAGCATCAACTGCAAACTTTGTCTGTGGAATTTATCCCAAGTATTTGAAAAAGAGCATAGTAGTCTCAGAATATATTTGTTAGATGTTTTAAAAAGTGCAGCATCACTTCATAATTACTATTACGTAATATTATATTGTATTTATAGGCAAGGATTTTTAAAAGTCCTTTTCTTTCTTGCTAATGGCGTAACCTATTGAGAATAGCTAAAAAGACATTCTTCCTTTTAAATACAAGAGGAAAGGAGCTGAATTTCGGAATTCATAATTTTTTACTTCTCTAGTCTTCTTTTATGAAATTCTCCTTCAACAGCAATGCATTTCTGGCAAGATAAGAAGTCATTAAACAGAAATGTCCTTTATTTTGAGAATTTAAACAGACACACCTCTTTTATCCTTCACTAAATCATTCTGAGCCAAACATAATTTCCTATTTCTGTACTAAACAGTATGGTAAGCAGGCAAAAAGGAATTAGCTGCTTTTTTTCCAAGAATACTTACTCCTAGAATGTAAGACTCTGAACCAGCTAAAATGGCTTACACATCAAGGTTGAGGGTTTGGTCTTAAATCCTTGCTTCAAGACCTTCATCTTGTCCTCATCTAGCCACACATCCAAAACTGTAATTGCATAAGTTATGCCCATTCTTGGTCACTTCTCTGCCTAAATGAGAATGTCTTAAAATCACCCAGAAAAAGTTCTAAAATCCTATACATATTCTCTACTGATTTTCCGTTTTCAACATACTATTAATACTCTGTAAAAGTGGTATTCTGTTGTATTGCTATAAAACTAGTAGCCATATTTAACTTCATTAACAGCTTATCTGGTTGTCTTTTTGAGAACGGATTGATGACAATATTCTCAAGAATCTGTCAAAATTCTTTTTCTGCCGTAGCTTGAGATTCCCAAACTTCAACAGTATGCTTCTGTGAGCACCTCTGAGCTCCCTGTTGGTGAGTCTGTCTGACCACAGTGTAGTCAACTTACATTGCATCTGAGTGCCAACTACTTTTCATTGAGCCCATCCTAATCAAATATAACATTTTAATTTGACTATATCTGCAAATACCTTATTCATATATATGTTCCTGTTCACAGATACTGGGGGTTAGAAATTAAGCATATCTTTTGGGATAATGAATTGGAGCACAATTCAACATACTACGATGGACATTTAACTACTCATGGAGCATTTTAAATGAGATGTAGAACAGATCAGACATAGATCTTCCAAAGTAATGAGTTTACAGTGATATAAAACAATTATATTCTTCTACCCAATTCATTAAAACACCAGGAAATAAGCCTCTTAAGATCCCACATATATTCTAAGCAGAAGGAACTTAGAAACAAAACATGATTGTCCTGAAATAGCTAATAAAATAAAAAGAAAAAAATAAGAATAAGAACAATGAACCTTCTCTTAGGATGAAAAAAGTGCCCATTTAACATTTAAACCTTCAAGAAGGATTTTCTATTTCTCTATTATAAGACAATCTTAGAGAAAGAAATGCCAGGTGTAACTGCATGACTACACAGCAAATGAGTACAAAAGTTGTGGAAATAAACCAAGACCACACAAATGAGAACGAATCAGCAATGATTCAGACTTTGCTATAACAAGACAGTCAAGGCATCCTTTTTTTTGCATTTGACAAAATCTCAGAGACAGACAGATAAATGGGAAAGCTTTATAATGAAAAGAAATAAAGGCTTCAGTGATACTCCGATTAGAGGTTTTTGGCATGGAAGGTGGGCTAACTAGAAGAGGGACTTTTATATGACAGTGTTGTACAGTTGATCTTAAGAGAAAATAGAAAAAAGAAAAAAATACAAAAGTCCTGACCATTCTGGGTCTATTGCTGCAGCAGCTGTAGTGTGGTTTCCTGGACTGCTTCTTGCAGGAGTAGTAGGTCAGAGTTCTGTTTTCCTATATGGTCTGGCCATTGCCCTTTTGTATGTTCAACCTCTCAAACTAGACACAATGTTCAAAATAAATCATTTCAATACTTCAAAGTCAGGAAAAAATGAGAATAATGTATTATTTAAAAATTGCTGTAGCTGTGGGAAGAACAGCAGGAGTCTAATGCTTTCATGCTTGGGGATGTTTTGATTACTCCTTCCTTCAGTTTTGTTGGCAGCCGCAGCACTTCTCATTGCCTGGAAAATTGGCAGAGTTGTCAGAAGATATGGACGTGGGGCAGGGGCAGGGGCAAGCTGTGGATCTATCAGCTAAAAGTAACACATTCAATAAGAAATGAAGGGGGAGAACCCATATCTCTATCATTCCGGATGTGAGGAGTGACAGGTGAATCAGGTATTTAACAGGGAAATTATGATAATGATAGTAAACTCTCTGCACATCCCTGACCACATAGGGAAACTCAAGACAACCCCTTGGAAAGCAAAAGCAAAACAAGAATTGAGGGCTGACTGAGACTTGAAAGTCAGCCCAAAACCTACACACAGATCTATTAACAGAGGGTAAAAACTTAAAAGGCATAGTGTGTGAAACCTGTAATGACAATGACTCAACAAACTGGGATTTTATTAGATAGATAGAAACTATAAAAATGGAAATTTTGAATTAGAAGATGCAATAACTGAACCAACTATTCACTAATTGGGATCAATAGGATATTTTAGATGATGGAAGAAAGAATCAATAAATCTGAAGGGAGATCAATAGAAATTAACCAATCAGAAAAAAAAAATTATGAGAGAAATAAATTGACAAAAAATAAGCAGAGACTTGTATGGCTGTTACAAAATTACTCATGAATGTATAATAAATGTTTCAGAAGGAGACAGGATAGAAAATGGGCTAGAAAAACATATCTAAAGATATAATGGCTAAAATTTTCTGAATTTGATAAAAATAATATTAATCCAAAGTTTCAAGAAACTCAATGGTACCCAAGTAATATAAACACAAAAAGGACCAGCCAATCTCTCCCATGTAAGGTTATTTAGTTGTCTGAAACTGTCATTAAACATTGTGCTAAGGTTTGATGCTTAATCAGGCATTTCAACCTTTATATCACCCACACTTCTCAGAAAAGGTAAATGACAAAGGTAAATAAAACAAAGTAGATGACAGAAATCTACAATAGGCTATTATGGCATATCACAAAAGGACATATTGAGTCCTTCTTTTAGCACGGAAATATTGTTTGGGAGGCTTGCTAGCTTTAGAGACTATATGTTTATATAAAAGAATTTAGAATAGACCTTGCTTAGAAACGATGAGTATTTGGGGGCTGCATCAACTTTACAGATCTCACAGGGAAGTGAAACTACTTAAGCTGAACCCCCAAATATTTTGTTTTGTATTTCTGAAGACCTCTATTCTAGAAATCTCCTCATCTGGCATATACCCATTCTATTTATTGGGACCAAAACATTACCACGATACTTAACAACCACATTGGGCATTATGAATAAAGAGAGATTATTAAGTGATATATAACATCTGGTATTAGAGTTGAGATACAAAATTCTATATTCCTGACTGTAGGCAATTGCATGGGGATTCGTTTATCTCAATAAACTTATGTCTGCCTTCAAAATAGGCGCTTAGGTCAATTTTGGCCTATCTCTTTGCAGGAAAAAAGGGATAATTGTAAAGTTAATTCAAAAAGAGAGAAAGACCGGGCGAGGTGGCTCACCCCTGTAATCCCAGCACTTTGGGAGGCCGAGGCAGGTGGGTCACCTGAGGTCAGGAGCTCGAGACCAGCCCGGCCAACATGGCGAAACCCTGTCTCTCCTAAAAATACAAAAAAATTAGCTGAGCATTTTGGCGTGTGCCTGTAGTCCCAGCTACTGGGTAAGCTGAGGCAGGAGAATCACTTGAACCCAGGAGGCCGACGTGGCAGTGAGCCAGAGAGACAAGATCACGCCACTGCACCCCAGCCTGGGCGACAAAGCAAGACTTGGTCCCTCCCCCGCCCCCCTCCAAAAAAGGGAGAAAACTGTTTATCAGATTTTATTCAAAAAACCTTTAACAAATGAAGTAGAATTTTTCACAGCTTACCTCTGCTAAAAAGCCACTTCATATTATATTTTGTAAGAGTACCCAAAAGTTGGGAGAATCCTGCTTGCTCTAGTTCCTAGATGAGCAGAAACACTAAGCCATGTAACTAAGGTCTTATAACTCCCACCCCTAGAGTTTCCATGATGTTGGACAGTCGTTAGTTCAAAGTAAAGAAGACTTGGCTTGGATATAATGTTGGACCCTCAAGGAGAAACTTTTGCTAGCCTATGAGAAAAATGTTGCCACAAAACTTTCTGGGACTTTTAATATTACAAACGTAAATACAGAAATAAAAAGGAAACAAATCGTCAAATTATCATGATTTGGCTAATATTCTTATGTCTGGTTCTTTTTTTTTTTTTTAGACGGAGTCTTGCTCTGTCGCCCAGGCTGGAGTGCAGTGGTGCGATCTCTGCTCACTGCAACCTCCTCCTCCCAGGTTCAAGCGATTTTCTGACCTCTGCCTCCAGAGCAGCTGAAACTACAGGAATGCACCACCACCCCTGGCTAATTTTTGTACTTTTAGTAGAGACGGGGTTTCACCATTTTGGCCAGGCTGGTCTCATACTCCTGACCTCAAGTGATCCGTAGGCCTCAACCTCTCAAAGTTCTGGGATTACAGGTGTGAGCCACCACATCCAGCCTTTATTTCTCGTTTTGTACATGCTTCAGATTGGCAAAGAAATCAGTTCCTTTGGTTCAATTTGGGAATTCTTGGATCTTGGCTTATGTCTGTACTACATGCTTTGACCATAATTATTCTCTTAGTATTTTCCTGGGGTGCGGTGCAGTGCTCATATGTGTAATAGACATCGTTTTAAATGCTGCTGTGCAGACACTGTTCTGTCATACATTTTGTTTTTTCTTTTGGGAGAATGTCATTCCATCACCCAGGCTGGAGTGGTGCGATCTCTGCTCTCTGCAACTTCCACCTCCTGGGTTCAAGTGATTCCCATGCCTCAGCAACCCGAGTAGCTGGAATTACAGATGCACCCCACCATGCCCAGCTAATTTTTGTATTTTTAGTAGAGACAGGGTTTTGCCATGTTGGTCAGGCTGGTCTTGAACTCCTGACTTCAAGCGATCCATCTGCTTTGGCCTCCCAAAGTGATGGGATTACAGGTGTAAGCCACCACACCCAGCTGTGTTGTGTCATACAATTTAAAAATGATCTTCTAAGCAGAGAAACAAGAAACTTTGACACATGATGGCCTGCTCCTTGAGCTTAGCCTGGATCTGAGAACTGAAGCCAATATATTTTCCTGTTCTTGGGCTAAAAATATTCTAAAACATTTCCTCGATCGTGAACAATACTAAAAATAAGCAGATAATTGAACAAAGACGGTAGAACAGGCCTCTGAATTTTAGCACTATTGACCTTTGGACCAGATTTTTTGTTGTTGTAAAGGGCTATATTTGTCTGAGTTCTCCAGAAAAATAGAACCAATAGGAGATGAGATAGATAGATCATAGATACATAGAGATATATAAAGAGAGAGAAAGAGAAAGGGAGAGAAACAGAGCAGGAGATTTACCAAATATTTGGCTCTTGCAATTGTGGAGGCTGAGAGGTCCAAGTCTAGGTCTGAGGCAGAAAACTAATGTACCATCTCAAAGATAGGCAGAGAAAAAGAATTCTTTCTTACTCATTCTTTTATTTTACTTACACCTTCAAGGAATTGGCTGAAGCACCCTCACATGATGGAAGGCAATCTGCTTATTCAGTCTACCAATTCAAATGTTATTATCACTCAGAACATCCTCATAGACACTCCCAGGAATAATGTTTAACCAAACACCTGGGTGCCTGAGGCCCACTCAGGTTGGCACAAAAACTTCACCATCGCAGAGGCTGACCATTCCTGATTGGATGTGTGGCAGCATCCACAACCTCTACCAATTAGATATCATTAGTGCTCCCTTTCTCAGTTGTGACAACTGGCAGACTGGTCAGACTCTGTGCTCAGCATAACTTTAGGGTATCTAGGCCCTGGACTTTATATGAAATTTCCACACAGAAATGTGTTTGGTTCATCTCAGACCCAGACCCAGGCCCCACATGACTAACCAGCCAAGAAGAGTAGTTATTTTGCTTTTCCTGATTTAATTTTGATGGTTGTGTTGCTTTGTCTTTATTTATGTGCTGAGTTTCCACACTTTTGACTCATCCTCTTCCACACATTACCCAGGATTATCTCTGGCAGCATTCTCAGCTAGGGCAACAAGAAAAGGCCACAGACTCTGGGCTAGAAAGATGCCCTGAAAAGCCAAAACTCTTGGACCAGAACTCCAAACACTTTATAGAGAGCTGCCTATTTGCCAGAGAACACCAAGGCAGATGAGCTTTGCTCCATGCCAGGAAGCCAGTGGGACAACAGAAATAGCCTGGGCTGTAAAGTAGCACAGGCCTGTCTTTGAGTGACTGCTAGCTCGTCTGTGCAACCTAAGGTGGCTAAGCCATGTTCCAAGGCTTCAGTTTGCTTATATATAAAATCAGAATGTGATCATGTTAGTTGATTAGATCAAGTTAGTTAATGGACATGTAGGAGCTTAGAAAACTATGTCTCCCTACATTTTGTTAATCACTTTACGTGGCCACTATTCTGAGGAGGTAGGCTCCTTTTGAGTTTTGACCTTCCCAAGCACCTGCATTCTGATTTTGCTTGCACTAACTCTGTCTAGACACCACACCCACATCTGGCTGGATGTCCAGGGTAGCCACCAGGCAGAGAGCTACTTAAATAGGTGGCTCAGAAAGGTTTCTCAAACTGCACCCTCATTCCTGACATCCATTGGTGACTCTGCAACCTATGGCTGGACACTGCCATGGCCTATGCCCTCCATTTTGTGTTCTGGAGCCAAGTCCAATTATCAGGATTTTCAGCTATGCACACAGCTCAAAGAAGCCTCTGAGCAGAGGCATCAAGAGCCAGAGGAATGAGTGGGATTTCTAAAGTGAAAAAGTCCAAATGACCACATCCTCCCTGATTGAGAAAAATCCTTGTAGAACAACTAAATATTTTACTTATTAAAACAAACAGCTTTCATATCCATCCTTGCTTTAAGACCCTCACCCTGCTATAACCACCATTCCTTAGCTACTATTTTCAAAAACTCCCCCAAATTTCAATCAATTTCCTGCCTATCATGATCTTTCTTAAAATCACTGCAACCAGGACCTAAAATTCTATAAATATCTTCTCCTGAATTTGCTCTCCCTTACTGCTACAAATTAAAATAAGATTTGATTTTGTAGTGTTTTAAAAGAGGTATAGCTAAACAATTCCAAATAATCTTGGTCTTAAAATCTGTGTGCATGAGAATAAGGATTCAAATGGAGACTCATATATTTTTTTCTCAAAAGTTAAATGTTGTAAATCAAGCCGCGTCCACTACCCACCCATTTTCTCATGGAGAATCCCCCAGGATCTTTCCCAGGATTGCTGTCCGGACCCAGGGGCTTAAGCCTACTGGCTCTTCTGTGGGATGTCTTGCAGCCAACATACCTGAGTGGTGGCAGAGACTAAGTAAAAGCAGAAACTGGACTTAATCTCAGGACTCATGGATGGTGAATGGATATTTCTGAACCCAAGATGGGGATTAACCTGTCAAACTACCCAGGGACAAACAACAAGTATGCTCCCTCCCTAGTTTTTTCTTTAATGACTAAGCATTTCTAGGCAGTTTTAAGCACTTCCTAAATATGTATCATCCAACTCAAAGGGCACTGTCATCTGAGGAAGTTGGTCTGTTTAGACCTCCACTTTGGGTAATTTCGGATGCATGATTTGGAACAAAAGCAACTGTGGTTTTCAAGGGGGAAACATGCTTTGTGTTTCATTATTTAGTGATATGTGGGGCACTCTTAATCCTTTATGTTCAAAATCTTCTCCACAGAGTAGCCACATCAGCTTCCCCAGGTCAATATGTGCAATCTCAGGTGAGGGCTAAAAGAATGCTCAGGTGATTTATATTCACATTCAAAGTTGAGAAACTTTGCTCTAAAGCAAGAGGACTGTCTACGAGAAGGGCCTCCCTAGCTAGAAGCTACAGCATCCACTCCCACCAGTTCTACCACATCAGATTGGAAATACCTGCAAATAGGAAAAATATCTGGTTCATTTCACCCATAGCAGAAGTATGGAAGAAAACCCAAGGCATACTCTCTGGTTAAGGTGCATTTATTAAACATTAAAATAAGGTTTCCCTTTGTTTGTTTTTAAACCTTAGGGCAAAACACCATAATGAGATTTTTCAGGAGACAATGGCATGATTGTGTGTGTGTGTGTGTGTGTGTGTGTGTGTGTGTGTGTGTGTGTGTGTGTAATATAGGAAATGGACTATTGTGAAAACAACTTCTTTTTAAGCAGATTTGTCATGAAATACGAGTATATATCAAGTTCAAGATTATAAGAAAGGAGGCAGGATCCATCCACAAACATAGCAGGGATTTTAAATAGGTCAAATATGTCAATAATCCCATAAACCTTGATTAATCCCACTGTATCAGTCAGGTCAAGCTGCCATAACAAAATATCACAGACTAGATGTCTTAAATCATTGAAATTCATTTTCTCACAGTTCTGGAGGCTAAAATCCAAGATCAGGGTGCCAGCATGGGCTGATTCTGGTGAGTACTGCCTTTCTGGCTTGCAGATGGCCTCCTCCTCTCTGTGTTTTCACAGGGTCTTTCTTTGGTTCATGTGCATGGAGACAGAGAGCTCTCCATACACAAAGACTGGTGGCCTTATCAGGACACCAATTCTATTAGATTCTGTCCCTACACCTGTAACCTCATTTAACCATAGTTATTTCCTAAAAGGCCTTATATTTAATATAGTCACACGAGTGGGTAGAGATTCAACATATGAATTTTGGGGAGACACAATTCAGCCCATGATGTTACTCATAAAAAAACAGACTCTTCATTTAGTCACAAACCATATTAGAGAATTAAATTAAATTTTTCATTTTGCCTCTAAAATAGTTTGATAAAATACAGCCTCATATTATCTCCTAAGTTTGAAAAATAGAACAATTTGGCTTTGGACAAATGATGACTGTTATCTTATTATTATTTAAAAGGTGGTAAGTATTTTTAAAGATTAATTTTTCTAATTGATGTAAAGCTCATTCTCTAGCTCAATTAATTTTCTTTTAGGTAAAGTGTTCATTGGAATATTGTTTTGAGTTGTATCACATTTTTTAAAAAACCATCCTAAGATGCTAAAGAAAAAAATAAAGCATTGTTGTTTTCCCTTTATTCCTTAAAACATCTCTTAGACAAAAACAATGAACCAAGTCAGAATGCACCCAGCTGTTTGCCTATAATTATAATTTTGTTGTCATAAGGAACTACACCTGTGTAGTAGTTCATTACAAGGTATTATAATTTTGATTTTACAAGCAAAATGTCTCATTTCCTTATGGGGAAAATGTAAGTTTTCTCATATGTGTTCACTAAACTTCCTAAGAGGGTCTTTTGAATGTCTTTGGCAACAACGTTATTACTTGGAAAATAAAGTTCAAATGAACTTGTTAAATACCCATCTTGCCTTTTGGTTTTCCTGTATTTACTTACTTTATAAGGTTATCCAACAGGAATTCTCAAGACTTGAATGAAAGATGCAACAATTACCAAATACTTCACCCTCCATTAAAGTTTTTATCATCCAGGCAATTACCAAAGTAGCAAATGAACATTACATGGCTATAAACAAATGCAATTCAGTAAGCCATAGGACAGGGAATTTCTGTTTTCTTAAACAAAGGCAACTAAGGAAGGATAAAACTGAAATATGTGACAGAGGGTGTAATATCTGTAAGAGCCAGAGGTAACAAACACCAAGACTAAAGGACCGTTTCCTCCATAGAGTTCTCAGAGTGTTTTGCCTGTGATCAATATGATTATCAACTTCTGGAATGTTTAGGGACCAAGATAGCTATAAACAACACTGAATTGCATTCTTTCTCCACTCACTGTGATGGTAGATAACAACTCAGTCAAAAAGAATTCCCATATCAAGTTAATTAAGAACATTCAAGGACTTAAAAAGTTTGTATCATTTGGGCTGGGTGCAGTGGCTCATGCCTGTAATCTCAGCACTTTGGGAGGCCTAGGCTGGCAGATCATGAGGTCAGGAGTTTGAGACCAGCCTAGCCAAAATAATGAAACCCCATCTCTACTTAGCTGGGCGTGGTGGTGGGTGCCTGTAATTCCTGCTACTCGAGAGGCTGAGGCAGGAGCATCACTTGAACTCGGGAACTGGAGGCAGTAAAGAATCATTTAATGGTAATCCTCTCCTTATCCATTGGTATCTCCATATCTGAATAAAATAAAATCTATATTTTAAAACAAGGAACTTCATGTCTTTAACATTTGAACAATTGTAACTTAATAGTGTGAATTTTCTGGAGAAAAAGGCACATGTTTACAATGAAGGCATGTTGAGTTCAGTGGTCTCAGGCCATTTGTAACCCTCCAGTAATAGAAATGTTTAGGCACAGCCTTTACCGTCTGTCCAGAACACTGCTTTTATTTGTCATTTTTCTACTATAAAAAGGCTTTGAGATGTGCTTAATTCTATAGTTTGCACATCTCTATAACAACTTTAGAGAAACATTTTCTAAATATTTGTTGCCCACTTAGGCCAATTGTCCAATTGATCAACATCAGTATATTAACTATTGTTGACCAATTGATCAATATCAATATATTACCTATTTATTCCATTATATTCACACTTGTTTTTCTATTTCCTTATAGGACAATAACATGAAACAAGGACTGGGTTTTTGTTCATGAGAATCAAGTATGCTAACGTATACAAAATCTGAGTTTCCAAAGATAAAATAGCTAACTAACAGTTATTGAATGCTTATTTTGTGGCAGGCTTTAAGAATATAGAGAAAATTGGAGTACAGTTGTTGCACTCAAGTAATGTGGGGATACATTCATTTAATCCCAACTTCGATGTTTTGTCCTCAGGAACTTTAGGTACCACCTGGTCAAACCTTCTTGGTAGCATGACGTGCTTAAGACACTTATCATTCACATAATATGTTTGCATTTTAAAAGCTGAATAAAACTTGGGAAATGACTTTTTTTCTTTCAAATAACTGTGGTGGTGGAAAAATCCAAGAAGTGTGATGGAATTACTGGTGACATGGTTTTGATATTATGAGCAAAATAATAAATAATGTTCTGCAGTGGTTATTGACTTTGCCATTTGGCTTAGAGGCAATTGTACTGAGAACCCACTGAGAATTGATTTGGAAGGCTATGGATAGGTAGTACAGGGCATGCAGTTGGCAGGAAACAGTGAAGTCAGGACTGAAAAGCTGAGATATGGCAGAGTACCCAACCACTGTACACTTGTAAAACAAGTAGGGTGCATAGTAGATGTTCTTGTGTCCTGTGCAAGAATGGAAGAGAAGACAATAAAGATAAGAAGATACTGGAGACAAGGCAATGACTAATGGTTCAGAGTTCTTAGAAAAGCAAAATAGATACTAGCATTTAGACTCATATATGTTGTCCCTCTTCCTTCAATAGCTATTTTTCTTGTGTAGCCAATTTAAGAAACTCTTTAATCAATAACATAAAAGCATTGAAGTCTAAAAATAGAAAGACTTCTATTTACTGAGGTTTGCTGGTTTTGCTCTTTTATATACAAGCATAAAAAGTTCTGTATTTTAAGTGAGGTTTACAGTTATAACAATCAGATGTAAAAGCAAATGTAATGTCAATTATCTGTATTTGTTAGGCCCTAAATAAAGTAATCCATGAAAGGCTGCAAAACTTTCTTTTCTGCATCGTATTCCTTACTACAATAGCAATCAGGGTCTTTGTAAAGATCAGAAGCCATTATTATTTTTATACAATATGAATGTAACTTTCCAGAACATTATCTGTTTTGCAAAATAAAAAGCTGCCAAATTTTGTATTCACCTGCTACTGAAAAGAAGTGACAGAATCTCATTTGAGAGCCAGGTGTGGTGCCTTTCGAATACAAGCATTTGCATTTATTTTCCTTTGATGTAGAAACAATCTCCTGAGGAAATCATTCATTTGGCTTACCTTCATTACAAAGAACATGTACAAATTATTCTCCTGAATTTTAATTTACCCATGTTAGATTATATTACTTTTTGAAAATATTTTATTCCTCTCCCTCCCTATCCTGTTGCAAGCAGGTTACCATGTGATTTTTCTTGCCAAAATTTAAGGGTTTGGAAAATAGATATTTGTCCCTTTTAACAAGAATCTTTAAGAGCCAGTGTGTCCTTCTACAGGTTTTCTTTTTCTCTGTCATAGTCACCACAATGTTCTAACTGGTGGCTATTATGTCCCTTAGGGTCCCTGGAGTGAGGATAATGATGTGTAAGCAACATTCATAGGCAGCACAGAACAGACCCTTATTAGGGAGCAAAAATAAACCTTGGTTTATGTATGACATTTACATATGAGGGCTGTCACTTTAGCATAGCTTGACTAATATGGTATCTATTGGTTAAAAATTGTATTAGAAATTTTTTCAAAGGTAAAATAGATTAATGTGTTCTAAGAAAAAAATCAGGCCTGAGACCAAAATCTCTAACTACATGCTGAAAGAAAAGAACATAAAATGGCATGTGAATCATGACGAGTAGGTACTATATTCTAGAAAAAGGGAGGTAAAAAGGAAGACTTCACCCAGGCAATATATCCACACTCTATATAACTCAGAATTATTTATATTTCTGCAGTGTTCAGCCCCTATTTTTTCTTCATTTTATTCCATTGTTTTCTTAAAATTCCAACTTTTATTTTAGATAAAGAGGGTACATGTTCAGATTGGTTACATGGAAATGTTGCATGATTCTGAGGTTTGGGGTTACAGATCCCATTGCCCAGGTAGTGAGCATAGTACTCAATAGGTACTTTTTCAGCCCTTCCCACACCCTCCTTCCCTCTTAGTAGTCCACAGTATCTATTGTTCCCATCTTTATGTACATGTGTGCTCAATGTTTTGCTCCACTTATGTGTGAGAATATGCACTATTCAATTTTCTGTTCCTGCATTAGCTCCATCTATGTTGCTGCAAATGGCATGATGTTATCCTTTTTTTGTATGGTTACCCAGTATTCCATAGTGTATATGTACCACATTTTCTTCATATAATCTATAATTGATGGGAAGCTAGTTGATTCCATGTCTTTGCTCTTGTGGATAGTGCTGTGATGAACAGATGAGTACATGTGTCTTCTTTATAGAAGAATTCGTTTTCCTTTGGATATATACCAGCAATGGGATTGCTGGGTCGAATGGTAGCCCTGTTTTAAGTTTTATGAGAAATCTCCAGACTGCTTCCCACACTGGCTGAACTAATTTACATTCTCACCAACAGTGTTTAAGTCTTCCCTTTTCTCTGCAGTCTCTCCAACACCTGTTGTTTTCTGACTTAATAACAGTCATTCTGACTGCTGTGAGATGGTCTCTCATTGTAGTTTTGATTTGCATTTTTCTGATAATTAGTGGTGCGGAGCATATCTTCATATGCATGTTGGCCACTACTGTGTCTTCTTTTGAGAAGTGTATGTTCCTGTCCTTTGCCCATTTTTTAGTGGGGTTATTTGTTTTTTGCTTGTTGGTTTAAATTCCCTATGGATTCTGGATATTAGGCCTTTGTGGAATGCCAGAGTTTGCAAATATCTTCTCCCATTCTGTAGGTTGTCTGTTTACTCTTTTGCTAGTTTATTTTGTTGTGTAGAAGCTCTTTATTTTAATTATCACCAGCTTGTCTATTTTTGTTTTTATTGCAATTGCTTTCGGGGATTTAGCCAAAAATCCTTTGCCAAGGCCAATGTCTAAAAGAGTATTTCTGAGATTGTCTTCCAGGATTGCTATAGTTTCAGGTCTTACATTGAAATGTTTGATCCATTTTGAGTTAATTTTTTATGTGGTGAAATGCAGAGGTCCAGTTTTAATCTGCTGTGTATGGCAAGCCAGTTATCCCAGCACCATTTATGGAATAGAGAGCCCTTTCTCCATTGCTTGTTGTTGGCCTTGTCAAATATCAGATGGCTGTAGGTGTTCAACTTTATGTCTGAGTTTTCTATTCTGTTCAACTGGTCAATGTGTCTAATTTTGTACCATTACCAGCCTATATTGGTTACTGTGGCTTTATAGTATAGTTTGAAGTTGGGTAATGTAATGCCTCCAGCTTTGTTCATTTTGCTTAGGATTCCTTTGGCCATTTGGGCTCTTTTTTGGTTCCATATGAATTTTAGAATATGTTTTTCTCCTTCTGTGAAGAATGATGTTGGTATTTTGGTAAAAAAAAAAAATTGAGTCTGTGCACTGCTTTGAGCAATATGGCCATTTTTGCGATATTGATTCTTCCACTTGCATGAAATTATCTTACTATTTATTTGTGTCATCTCTGATGTCTTTCAGCAGCATTTTATAGTTCTCCTTGTGGACATCTTTCACCTCCTTGGTTAGCTGTATTCCTATGTATTTCATTTCCTTTGTGGCAATTGTGAAACTGCATTCTTGATTTCACTCTCAGCCTGAACTTTGTTGGTATATTAGTTTGTTGTTGCAGTACTATAAAGAAATACCTGAAACTGGGTAATTTATAAAGAAAAGAGCTTTAGTTGACTCATGGTTCTGTAGGCTGTACAGAAAGCATGGCTGGGGAGACCTTAGTAAACTTACAATCATGGCAGAAAGTGAAAGGGAAGCAGGCATATCTTATATGGCTGAAATTGGAGGAAAAGAAAGAGGGGCGAGGTGTCACACAATTTTGAACAAACAGATCTTATTGAGTACTACTATCACAAGAACAGCAAAGGGGAAATCCTCCCCCATGATCTCATTACCTCCCACCAGGCCCTCCTCTGATATTGAGGATGACAGTCTTACATTAGATTTGGGTGGTAATACAGATCCAAGCTTTATAAGTCCACCCCTGGCTCCTCCCAAATCTCATGTCCTTCTCAGATTGTAAAATATAATCATTCCTTCTCAACAGTCCCCCAAAAGTCTTAACTCATTTCAGCATTAACTCAAAAGTCCAAGTCCAAAATCTTTTCTGAGACAAGGCAAGTCCCTTCTGCCTATGGGTCTGTAAAATCAAATACAAGTTAGTTACTTCCAAGATATAATGACGTTACAGGCATTGGGTACTACTGTTCCCAAAGGAAGAACTAGGCCAAAACAAAGGGGCTACAGTCCCCATGCAATTCCAAAACCCAGCAGGGCAGTTATTAAATCTTAAAGCTCCAAGGTAATCTCCTCTGACTCCATATCTTACATCTAGGCCATACTGATGCAAGAAGTGGGCTCCCAAGGCCCCAGGCAGCACTGCCTCTGTGGCTTTTGTAGGGTACAGACCCTGCAGTGCTTTCACAGGATTGGATTGAGTGCCTGAAGCTTTTCCAGTTGCACAGTATAAACTGTCAGTGGATCTATCATTCTGGGGTCTGGAGGGCAGTGGCCCTCTTCTTACAGCTCCACTAGGCAGTGCCCCAGTGGGGACTCTGTGTGGGGCCTCCAACCCCACATTTCCCCTTTGCACTACCATAGCAGAGGTTCTCCATGAGGGCTCTGTCCCTGCAACAGACTTCTGCCTGGACATCCATACTTGTGTTTCCATACGTCTTCTTAAATCTAGGAGGAGGCTTCCAAGCCTCAACTCTTGCCCTCTGTGCACCCGCAGGCTTGATACCACATGGAAGCCACAAAGGCTTACAGCTTGCACACTCTAGAGCAGTGGCCTGAGACATATCTGAGGCCCTTTTAGCTACAGCGGGAGCTGGAGTGGATGGGATGCAGGAAGCAGTGTTTCGAGGTTGTCCAGGGCAGCAGGGCCCTGGGCTGGACTCAGGAAACCATTATTCCTTCCTAGGCCTCCAGGCCTATAATGGGAGGGGCTGACACGAAAGTTTCTCAAATACCTTTGAGGCGTTTTTCCCACTGTCATGACTACTAACATTCAGATTCTCTTTACTTATTAAAATATCTGCAGCCAATTTGAATTATTCCCCAGAAAATGGGTTTTTCTTTTCTACTACATGGTTAGGATGCAAATTTTCCAAACTTTTATGCTCTGCTTCCCTTTTAAATATGAGTTCCAGTTTCAAATCATCTCTTTGCTCAGGCATATGAGCATAGGTAGTTAGAAACAGCTAGGCCCCGTTTTGAACAATTAGCTGTGTAGAAATTTCTTCCACAAGATACCCTAAATCATCTTCCTCAAGTTTAGTTTTCCACAGATCCCTAGAGCAGGGACACAATGCCTCCAATCTGTTTGCTAAAGCATAACAAAGTGACCTTTGCTCCAGTTTCCAATAAGTTCCTCATCTCCATCTAAGAAAACCTCAGCCTGTACTTTATTGTCCATATCACTGTAAGTATTTTGGCCACAGTAATCTAACAAGTTTCTAGGACGTTCCAAACTTTCCCTTATCGTGCTGTCTTCTTCTGAGCTCTCCAAACTGTTCCAACCTCTGCTTATTACCCAGTTCCAAAGTCGTTTCCACATATTCAGGTACCTTTATAGGAATGCCTATTAATTGGTACTATTCATAGGTACCAATTTTCTGTATTAGTCTGTTCTGTCACTGCTCTAAAGAAATACCTGAAACTGGGTAATTTGTTTAAAAA
Source organism: Homo sapiens (assembly GCF_000001405.40). Taxonomy (NCBI): domain Eukaryota; kingdom Metazoa; phylum Chordata; class Mammalia; order Primates; family Hominidae; genus Homo; species Homo sapiens. The sequence goes on along the minus strand of NC_000002.12, from coordinate 83,380,080 downwards.
AAAAAAACATTTAATTTGTTCACAGCTTTCTAGGCTGTATAGGAAGCATGGCTCTGGAGGCCTCAGAAAACTTACAATCATGGTGGAAAGCGAAGTAGAAGCATTCACATCTTATGTGGAATAAGAGGAAGAGAGAAGAGGGAGGTACTACATACTTTTAAACATTCTCATGAGAACTCACTCAGTATCACAAGAAGAACAGCAAGGGGAAATCCACCCCCATAATCCAGTTACCTCCCACCAGACTTCTCCGCCAACATTAGGGACTACAATTTGTGAATTAGGTGGGGACACAAATCCAAATCATATCAGTTGGTATATAGAAATGCTGCTGATTTTTTATACATTGATTTTGTATCTTGAAACTTTACTAAAGTCATTTATCAGTTCTAGGAGCCTTTTTGCAGATTCTTTAGGATTTTCTAACTATAGAATCATATCTTCAGCAAAGAGAGATAATTTGACTTCTTCCCTCCTGTCCGGATGCATTTTATTTCTTTCTCTTGCCTGACTGCTCTGATGAAGACATCCAGTACTAAATTAAATAGAAGTGGTAAGAGTGGACATCCTTGTCTTGTTCCACTTCTCAAGGGAAATGGCTCTTTATTCATATATTGTATTGATTTATTCATTTCCTTTTTCAACAGTCATTTGTTGAGGGTCTGCTTTACAAACGTTCTTCTGAATAAAGTAGTAGGTACAGGTCTCAAGACACATAGATGCTAATTACCATGACAGAATATGCAAGCATTTGCATAAGGAGGCAAAAGGAAATTCAGGTCCAATTGGAGTGTGGAAAAAACAAGGAATTGTTTCTGATGAGAAGATGAGAGGAAACAAGATTTAGACTGAATACAAAAGAAGAATTTTGACAGAAGAAAAAAATAAAAGTGCATGCTGTGTTGAGCAAATATAATCAAAGAAGTGCAATCATTAAAATTCCAAGAATGTCTAAGGAATTCTAAGCTATTTGTTCACTGCATAGGGTATTACTGAAAGTCAAGTGTTCTAAAATAATACTGGATGGGTAGAGTGGCTTAGAAGAAGTATGAGACAAAAATCTACAGATTTGAAACTTCTGTTACCACACAATCTCTTACAGACTTTTGTTTTTCTTTATTTAGAAAAGACATCCACAGTATAGATAGAGAGGGTTGACTTATTTTCTACCAGGTCTTTAATAAGGACCCCCCCACCCCCAAGATGTCCTGCATTAATTATTTTGATGAAAGAAAAAAATTAAAAATGTGTGGAAATACACAGTTTCAGCACTGATGAGCAAAAATCTTGGAAGCTGTTGAGCTCTTCCTTTAAAATAATAAAAAAGCAATCAAACTGAAAATTAATAACTTTTCTGGAACACTTCAGAGAACAGAAGTAACACTGGATACAACCAACCCAGAATCAGAGGTAGCAGGTGAATACACAGAATCATAGTAGAAATCTATTTATAAGAAGCCTCAACTGATGGAGACATACAATGGTAGGAGCATTTTATTGGGCATTTTGATCACTTGCTGGAGATGGAGTATGGACTAACCTGAGAGTGAAAATGTCCAACTGGCTGAAGTCTTAAAAGTGTTCTGGTTTTACATCCAGAAATTTTCCAAGATGTCATTGTTAAGAGCCAAGAAGGTTTCTCCCAGAGCTCTGGCAGGGGAATGGTGGAACAACCATTTTAAAATACACCCAGAGAATTTTCCATAACAAATGCCTACTCCCTTGGAACCAAGAATTTACCAAAGCCTTATCCTAACTATGAAGAAATACATTTACCCAATTTGAACTCCTTCTAGCTTTACTCTTTCACCAGAGTAAGTGAAGAGAAAGCTGAGAAACACTTGTAAAGGTTGCAACCCAGTGAAATAAGCCAACTAAAAGATTGAGACTTAACTTTAGGATACAGAACGCTTTACCTCACTCATACGTTACATCACATCAACAGGACTCTTGTATCATAATAGCTGGAAGAGCTGCAAGAAACTGACTGTTAAAGAGACAAAAACAAGATGCAGGAAAAATCAGAAGCCTCTGGTACCTCTATTTATTAAAACATTAGGCAAAAACCTATCTCCTAGGAAAATAAAACCTCACTTAGTTTCTATTACCCAATACGTTATGTTTCCTATTTACAAAAATTACAAATCATGCTAAAAGGAAAGAAAAATAATAGTCTGAAGAAACACAGCAAGCATCAAAACCAGATTTATATATAATACAGATCACTGATTTTAGAATAATCAGACAGGAAATTTAAAGCAACTACTATTAATATGTTAAGGCTTCTAATAGAAAAATGAAACAGTGTAGAAAAACACACGGATAATTAGGGAAAAAAATGAAACCTCAAAGAATAAAAAAAATGCCAAAAGTCAAAATACTATTAACAGAAATTTAAAAATTCCTTTAATGGTCTCAATAGCAGATAGGCCAAATAAAGAATCAGTGAGTTTGAATATGTCAACAGAAACTTCCCATAATACAATGTAAAGAGAAAGAAGTATATAAAAACAGAACAAATCATCCAAGCAATGTGGAAGAATTTCAAAGGTGGCAATATGCGTATACTTGAAATACCCCAAAAAAGAATTAAGAGAGAATAGAGCAAATGAAATATTTAAAATAACAATAGCTGAGGATTTTCTAAAAAATATTGATAATTACCATATCATAGATCTAGAAAGTACAGAGAACACCAAACAAAATAAATACTAAAATATCTTAATCTGAACCCAAAGTATACCTTGCCATGTGTACATAAAATAAGCCAGGGAAAAAGGTTGCATGCAGTATAATTTCAATTCTATGACATTATGAAAAATGCAAAACTAAAGGTACGTCTATCAGTTATTTCCAAGGAGTTAAGGGAAGGAAGGAGGGTTAAAATAATGAAACATTGGAGACTCTTTAGGGCAGTGCAAATTACTGTGATACTATAATGTTGTATACATGACATTTTGTTCATATCAAAACCCATAGAATGTTCAGTTCAGAAGGAACCTTAGTGTATACAAATTTCAAAAAATCATTTGGTAGGCTGAGGATCCCAGGAGGAAATGCAGACTGACAAAAGAATCTAACTGTATTACAAATGTATGAAACAACTTCACTTAAGTGGGTAGTAAGAAAAGTTGTTGACCTAATTAATGACGTCAGTGGAGGTTGTAAGACTAAAGGTAAAAGGAACTGCACATAAGCTCCTTAATCTAGGTTATAAGGTTGTTCTGCAGAGTACATAGGTTAACAATCATAGCACTGCTATGCAAGTATACAGGTATTCATCATTTAATTCAGTAGATGGCAGGTGATGGGAGCTAGGTTTCGTGTTATGGAAGTAGACTTTAAAGATAAGCAAGGGGAGGAGGCTAGAAAGATCTATTTGTTAATAGATTTCAGTTGGAGACATCAGTATGTACTTTTGCGTGTTTATAAAAAATATTTATAGATATATATACACAAGTTAGTATACACATATATTTTCTTGCAGTGTCAGTTAAGAAGGCTTAGAAGCAATGACATAGCAGTAGCAAGGAGCACACCTAAGACCTAAATCTTGGTTTCTAATATTATTCTCCAGTAATAAAACCAGGACTCCTTGGAGAAGTGGCTAATTCTAGGACTGGAGCAGAAAATATGCAAGCTGAGTCTGGAACATCTTGTAGTGCCAGAAGGTATGAAAGTTAGAAATATACCACCCTGGCATATTAACTATTATGAATTAAAGGCACTTGAAAAACAGCAGGTGCAAACAGATCATTCTGACCTCTTTTCTCTTTCTTAAAAGTAGAGGATTAAATTTCTGTATGAAAGACACTCTCCCCATACTAGAAGGAGAGAGAATATCTTCATTTGCAAAGACAATAAATCAAAACTGAGGGAATTCTGTACAAACCTTGTTAGAACTCTCATATTTCAAGCCTCTTTCACATAATTTAATTGTTTCTTTACTACTTACTACTCTTTGTCTAATTCAGTATATAAGTAACTAAGTCTAAATTCTTTGGGTCTTCATTTCTTTATGAAGGTTCCTGTGCCACTTAAAACTTGTTGAATAAAGTTATATACTTTTCTTCTGTTGCTCGGTCTTATCTTAATCCATTTTCAGTTGCACTAATGGAATATCTGAGACTGGGTAATTTATAAAGAAAATAATTTTGTCTAGCTCATGGTTCTGGAGGCTGGAAAGTTCAAGATCTGGCAGTTGCATCTGGCAAGGGCCTCATGCTGCATCATAACATGGTAAAAAGGAGGAAGAACAAGCAAATGTGTGTGAAAAGACAAACAGAAAATCTACCTTACTTTCATAACAACCTGCTCTCACAATTACCCACTCCCACGATCATTAATCCACTCCCTCAAAGAAGACATCAATTCCTCTCAATGACCTAATCACCTCTTGAAGGTCCCCCCTCACAACATCACCACAATGGCAATCAAATTTCAACATGAGCTTTGGAGAGAGGAAACCATACTCAAACCATAGCATATATCAATTTAATTCTCAGGCTCAGCCAAAAGAAACCTGGAAGAAGAACTTAACTCCTTTTTACAGTCTGAAAAAAACAATAATGACATACATTCATTGTGATCGTCAAAAGACACATAGGATCCAATCATAAGCGCCCTCTGTGGCCACTGGAACAATTTGAATTACAAAATGGAGTAGTGTTGGATTATAACCCAAAATACAAAATAAACATACATAAGCATATACATATAAATATACTCTAAATAAGTTAATTTATGATGAAGGGAGATAAATATTTTGTTCAGAAGAAGTGCACATAATTTACGTAGATATTCCAGTCTCAAGCAGAGGAAACAGCTCCCCACTGTTTTAAGTGTGGAATGTGCATAGCGACTTACTTTCAAACATTGCAGTATGGAAAGTGGTCAAGAGAAGAAGATTGACTTTACAGTGGCTAAGCCTGACATCCACTACCCAGAGAGGTGTCAGGTTAACATCCACAGTAATCAACATGTGGATAGTATGTATCCTTGATATGATGTAATTTAAATGGCACCTATTTCTGTGTTTTTTTCTCCAATAACACATAATAATTTTTAACCAGAGAAGTAAAATCATCTGATAAGTTTCTATAGGGGAACATCATGTAAGGAAGCTGACCAGTACTCTTCGCATTTGTCAAGGTCATCAAAAGCAAAGAAAGTCTGAGAGACTGTCACTGTCATAAGGATCCTAAGGAAACCAGAAAACCAAATGTCATGTGGTCTTTTGAATAGCACTCTGGAGCAAAAAAAGGACGTTAGGCAAAAACTAAGGAAATATGAATATGAACTTGAGTTAATAATAGTGCATTAATATTTTTCATTAATTATAATGAGTGTACCATACTAATGTAAGGTGCTTTTAATAAGAGAACCATTCTAAAGTCTATTAAATATTTAAGTAACTTTTGTTGAATAACACCACAATGCTTTGTGTAAAAAGTCAGCTTCTAACAATATTTTAAACTTGTATATATGTAATTTTATAAATGGCATGGGTTTTGGAGTCAATACTTGACTTAAATATTTATTACCCAAGTATCCTTTGAAAGTCACAGGCCACTATGCACCTTGGATTTTATATCTGTAAAATTTATGAAGTTTATTGTATCTTCAATAAGATGATATAAAAATGTATCAGTTTGGGGTATCCTAAATCAGAAAATAAATGAAGAAGTTGTTAGTAAAGTCTCTAGGATGCTGCACTGTTAGTTTCTTTTTTTGTTCTTTTTCCTCTTTTTATTTCCCAATTTATCTTTAATAGATATATATCCTGTAATCAAACAACATATTTTAATAACATATCTATTAAAAAAGCAATGACATCTCTAAGAATACAACAGCAAAAAGTAGCTCCTGTATAAAGATTTTTAAGTTATTAAATGGGGGAGGGTCACTAAAGGAAAATTCGAAGACCTTTGTTAAACATGAACCATTTAAGTTATAATGCCAGGTTAATCAACTCAACTAGGCTATTATTTTGTCGTAGATTTATGAATTATCTGTGCTTTTAAGAAATCTGTATTATCTGCATTTTTTATTTTTAAAAAATCTAAACATTTGTTTGACAGATAATTGTTTTATGTATTTAAAGTGTACAACATGATGATTTGATGTACATATACATCGTGTACTGCTTACCACAATCTATTTACATCTGCATCACCACAACTAATTACTATTTTTGTGTGGGGTGGGGTGGTAAGGACCATTAAAATCTGCTCCCCTCAAATTTCAGGTAAAACAGTATTATCAACATTAGATATCATGCCATACATTAAATCCCCAGAACTTATTCATCTTACTACTGAAAGTTGGTGACTTTTGATCAAACTCCCTCATTTCTTCTATCCCCAAGTCCTTGCCAACCACTGTTCTACTTTCTGCTTTTATGAATTTGATCTTTTTGGATGGTACATGTAAGTAGGATTACACAGTATTTATGTTTCTATATCTGGATTACTTCACTTAGCATAATGCCTTCCAGATTCATTTATGTTTTTGTAAATAACAGGATTTCTTATTATGGCTAAATAATATTTCTCTCTGTCTCTCTCTCTCTCTCTCTGTGTGTGTGTGTGTGTATGCTTGTGTATGCATTTTCTTCTTGATACATTCTTCCATTGATGGATGTTTAGGATGTTTTCATATCTTTGTTATTGTGAATAAAACTGCAATGAACATAGAAATTCAGATATCTTGTGCAGACAGTGATTTCGATTTTTTTGAAGATATAACCAGAGATGGAATTGCTGGGTCATATGGTCATTCTTTTTTAAATTTTTGGAGGAATCTCCATGCTGTTTTCCATAATGGCTATGCCAATTTAAATTCCCATCAACATTGTACATGTGTTCACTTTCCTCCACATCCTTGCCAACACTTGTTATCTTTTTAATAACAGCCATTCTAACAGCCTTGAAGTGATATCTCATTGTGGTTTAAATTTTCATTTCCCTGATGATTAGTCATATTGAATACTTTTTTATATGCTTGTTGGCCATTTGTATGTCATCTTTGGAAAAATATGTATTCAGGCCTTTTGCCCATTTTTAATCAGATTACTTGACTTTTTGCTATTGAGTTATGTTAATTTCTTATCTATTTTGTACCTTAACCCCTTCCCAGGGTGTTAATATACAACTCAGAGGTGCCAAATTTGTCATCTGCCATATTTTTACCCTGGGGTCCCAGGGATCTCCCCTCATAAGAGCCCCCTTCCCAGGAAGAGAAGGCAGTGTATCATTGCTAGGGTAATAGGTGATGTCCTTATGAAAAAATAGGCCTAGAAATCTGAGCTAAGGTCTTCGAAGGCGTTTCCAGCTGATCTATCTTTTTTTTTCATTTTCATGAAGCTCATATTGACCAAACTCTATTTTTAAAGAGACAAAAATAGCTGAGGAAAGAAGAGCCAAGATAGACGATAAATGTCTGATATTTAAAAGTGTTTTTCAGTTGTCTAAGGAGAGAACGTGGAAGAAAGAAACATATAAGCACATGTTTCTGGAAAAAAAAGGCAAGACATGAGAATGAATAGAGCCATGGTGGTCCCAATAATCAATTAATGCCTTCAACCCTGTATCATTAGAAAATAAGCGTTTTCCTCTGCTTCTCTAATGTATAGTAAGATATATCAAGCATATTTTTCCCTTTGAATAGTTTGAATTAATAAAATTAAAATTTATTTTTCAACATTAAATGTTTGACATGCAATGTCACTATATAAAAATAAGACTTATTTATTTTTATGCACTTGTTTACCAATGTGGTTTATTGAAAGCTGTTCAACCAAATAGAAGCACAGCAAATTTTATTGATACTCTTGTCATACAATTACACGAATATGCAATATATTATACTAGCCACCTTTTCTCAGTGTACTGAAATTTTAAAGTCATTTTATCAGTATAAAACATAATCTTTGAAACCTTACTGATTATCATTTTGAGTTTTAGAACATGTCTCCAGAAGGAATTTGACTTCAGGTCAGAAAATGCCAAACTTTAACTAACAAATAACTATTATCCTAATTCCTGTCTATTCCCTATATACGCTTGTTAAAATGTTTTCTTTCTACTGCTGTTTTTTGATACATGTTAAATAATTATTTATAAGCATTTAATTTTCTGGAGAGAAATCCAACAGAATAGATAAACTACATGTAATTCTATGTCTGAAAAGCATCAAAAGCTCAGTTTTATAATCTGAAGCTGATTTACAGCAAAATACCAACCATGGCTGCATTTTTTTATTTTTAACCTTAGAACAAATTTAAACAGGAGACACTTGTGTACAGGCAAGCAGGCTCTACGTAGAAATCAATCTAAATGTCCAGACGAAAATTGTATTTTTGAAAAAGCAGTATGCAGCAAGATTTCTAACGGCATGAATATTCTCCCTTTAGATGCCATGAATACAAAAATACCCCTGGCATTTAGACCATGAACAATTCAGGAGCTTGAACTGAATTGTGTATGATTACCAGCTTTCCTCAGACCTCTCCATGCTTTATTTAAAATGAAAGTAGTTTTCTGAAACAAATATCTGAGTCATTTTATTTTTCTGTTATTCAAAATGACTTTAATGAGAAAGTAAGAAGTGAGGTTTTTTTTAGCATCTGTTAAATGCTTTTCTACATTTGCTATTGGCCTTTCCTTGGTCAGCAGAGTAAACATTTGAAGAAAGCTAGTCACCTTACAGTTATCTAGGGGTAAAAAACATAAATATCTAATGCATATTAAATTATTATTGCAAAACCAATGCTAAGTGTGATATGCAAGTGTAGGCCTTGTCCTAGAAGCCTTCTTTTCTTTTTTTTATATATATGTATTTTTATTATACTTTAAGTTCTACGGTACATGTGCACAACATGCAGGTTTGTAAGCCTTCTTGTTGTGATTTTCTAATTATTTACTTTACAAATTAATTTTATATATTACATTTTGGTATTTTTGTTATCTCTATATTTTCCCAATTTCCACCAAATAAATATCTCTAAAGTTATTGTTCATTGTACTTTGTCACATTTTTAAGAATATATAGTTATTTGAAATTAGTATAATAGTTCATTTTTATGCACTGATTCACATGTAAATCTTGTATTTAGTTAAGTTCATCAGATTTTGTCAAAAAGATGCATTTATTCAACTGATTATGGAACAAATAATCACATGGACATAAAATAAAATATTATTTGTCTCAAAAGACTATTTTAATTTGCTCAAAATCAATGAAAAGTTTTGATAAGAAACTCATTAGAGATGCTTTATATTAATAAATGTAAATTTATCATTGCTAATATAGATACAAAATTCTTTTCAGTTACTGCTGTCTAGCAGCTTCAGAATTATTCCTAATATTTGCCTCACCTCTCTTTATAATTAGTTACCAAGTTTTCTGATTCAGCACTTAAAAAAGAAGACCTCGAAAGATGCCTCTTAGCCAAGCTTTCCACATTAACCACTAACATTGTAATCATAGCTTATTTTTGGACAACTCGTTATGTGTACTTTGTTTTTAATATTCAACTCAGCAGTTCATAGGACAAGGTTTAGAGTGTGTCATAAACACACAACTTTTGAGAACAACTGTTCTTATCTTCTGTCACCATTAATTACCTGAACTACTGAGGAAAAATATACTAAATATCTTGCTAATCATTTTAAATCCCATGATTCTAGCAAGAATCTTTATGGAACTGAGGAAACACTTTTTTTTCTTTCATTTGCAAGCTCATGGCATTCAGTTGCCCACAGAAGCCTGATTCTACCTTGAAAGTGGCATTCCACTCTCTATGTCATACATAACCCTAGTGTGGCCTAAATGGTGATATTAAAAGTGAACAGAAGTGTTTTCCTGTGTTCCTCTCCCTATAAGATCATTTAACTACACTAGATATCTAGGCAAGATTATTAAGAAAAAAAATCGAAAACTTGGAAGCAAAGCATGAGGATAACTGCATGTCCTTTTCATTGTTTGATTTTATTTCAAAATAAAATGATCAGAGTACTCCTAAGTACACATCTAAATTTGATACAAGTTTGGAATTATTCCAGAATATACATCTGAATTTGATATTGCTTCTTTCTATATCTTTAGACTCCCCAGTGAGAAATTACAAGTTAATTTGTAATTTTTTTCTAATAGAAAAGATAAACAAAAAGGTCACTGATTTTAGGCTGTATAAAACAGTAAAAAAAAAAAAAAAAAAAGAAATTGTATCTATTAAGAAATGTGGCCCGGCACGGTGACTCATGCTTGTAATCCCAGCACTTTTGAGAGGCCGAGGCAGATGGATCACTAGAGGTCAGGGGATCGAGGCCAACCTGGCCAACATGGTGAAACCCCATTTCTACTAAAAATACAAACAATTAGCCAGGCATGGTGGTGGACACCTGTAATCCCAGCTACTTGGTAGGCTGAGGCAGGAGTATCGCTTGAACCCAAGAGGTGGAGGTTGCAGTGAGCTGAGATTGCGCCACTGCACTCCAGCATGGGAGGCAGAGCAAGACTGTCTCAAAAAATAATAATATAATGATAAATATTTCCCTTTTTTCGGAGTTCAAAATCAGTTTTTAGTGTCTTTTCATGTTTCCTTGATAATTTAATTATAATAATCTTTATTTTTTACATCTTAAATCCATTAATTTTTACCATAGTAAATATTGCAACAGAAAGAAAGCAAGATACAAAATTAGAATAAAGTAACAACGGTTTCATTGAACATCCTTGTTCAATACTTTCAGCACTATTTTTGAAAATATAATTGGAGAAACTTCAAATGAAGCAGTGAGTCGTTAAAGCAAACAGGACTAATTCCTCTGTTTCAGTGTCTCTAATACTGTATGTCTGACAATTAGGAAAAAACAAAAACTGTTCCTTGCTATAACTATTGTTATGTTGGCTCCAATTATCCAGCCTCATCTGACTCATTTTCTATGCATTCCCGTTTTAAATGTCTGTGGTATGCAGCAGCTGTTGTTGTTAAACTTTTTTTTTTTAGCTTTATTTTAGACTTTGTAATTCTTCAAGTAAAGTCTGAGTAGAAGTATGCCCTGTAAAACATTATTTTCCAGAAGCATCAGATATTTGATCACAGAAAAGTGTCAAAGAAGATTCGGAGCAACAGGTTTAAGATATTTTTCAAAACTGAATCTGAGTTTTATGGCCAAGAACATTTTGTTCCTTTGAGTGTATGTGAGAGAAGCTGTTAAAAGATACACAAAAGACTTATTTTCTAAAATATTTTTACAATTTTTCAAAAGGTATGTTTCTTTTATATATGAAAATAATGTAATGTTGGAAATTTAGTGGCACAGAGGAGCAAATATAAATACATATTTGCAAGTGTATTTTTATTTTGACCACATCCTTTTCCAAATATCCCTTTATTCTATGATGTCAAAATGGTTGCAATTTGGTTCTGTGACTTGTTATGACGAGGCATTAACGTGCCAGTGACACTCATTGTTATTAATCTCTTATATACTGAAAGGTTGTTCTTAGAATAAGGTTTGAAACACTGAATCATATTTAGAAGTGATTTGAGAACTGAAGTTTTTAAATAAACATTTTTAATTTTAGATTTTCCAACTATCTCCTCTATCCTTCTTCTTCTTCTTTTTTTTTTTTTGAAACGGAGTCGCTCTGTCGCCCAGGCTGGAGTGCAGTGGCGCGATCTCGGCTCACTGCAAGCTCCGCCTCCCGGGTTCACGCCATTCTCCTGCCTCAGCCTCCGGAGTAGCTGGGACTACAGGCGCCTGCCACCACGCCTGGCTAATTTTTTGTATTTTTAGTAGAGACGGGGTTTCACTGTATTAGCCAGGATGGTCTCGATCTCCTGACCTCGTGATCCACCCGCCTCGGCCTCCCAAAGTGCTAGGATTACAGGCGTGAACCACCGCGCCCGGCCTACCCTTCTTTACCCATCACATTCAGGCTTCTGAATATACCTGAGTGTCAAGGAAATTGCAGCCAATGCAACCTCTTTATTCTTTGAGAATTTGCCCTGAATCTTTTTCTTTGTCCCTTTGCTAGAATCAGAGAAGAAATCACAGGCAATAAAAAATACATGTTCTCCTTATCTACTTCTCTCCTAACCCTATACCTTCAAGTCAGCCATAACGAATGCATTTCTGACATCCTCAATTCTGGGCTTTATTCTGATCTCTGAACTACTTCAGTGATATATTACTATTTTTTAATGTAAAGGCCATAACATAAATCAAATGAGAGAGAAAGACAGAAAAAGTAAAAACAATGCAGAACTTTCAACCTTAAAAGTCTACTTTAGGCCCGGCATGATGGCTTATGCCTGTAATTCCAGCACTTTGGGAGGCTGAGGTGGGCGGATCATGAGGTCAAGAGATTGGGACCATCATGGCGAACATGGTGAAACCCCGTCTCTACTAAAAATACAAAAATTAGCTGGACGTGGTGGCGTGCGCCTGTAGTCTCAGCTACTTGGGAGGTTGAGGCAGGAGAATTGCTTGAACCTGGGAAGCAGAGATTGCAGTGAACCTAGATCATGCCACTACACTCTAGCCTGGTGACAGAGCAAGACTCCATCTCAAAAAAAAGAAAAAAAAAAAGTCTACTTTAAAAATTTAAAACTTAATCCCCCACACATAAAACAATACTTAGAAGCATATGTAAGTCTTAGACAATACTAATTATATTATATCCCTGAGTCACAATATTTAAAATGTCTTGTCTTAGGGTATTGTACACCTTGTTACATTTTCCTGTCTGTAAATGGCTCTTATCTTCTCCCTTCATTAAGCCTCATGCCTCACTCTACATTTTGTTCCATGGAAGGACCTTGAAAATGATCAGCCTCCTCAACTCCTTGGAATTTGTGTTAAGTGCACTAACACAATAAAGAATCTTCTTTAAAATTAATACATCATTTTGAAATGAATTCTTACCCACAAATTGATTCTTTTTTGTTTTACGAATGTGAGTTTTCAGAAAATGAGATTGTTTACAGTGGAAATGCATATAAATTAATGAATTGAAATCTGATACATTTAGAAATTAATCTAAATGTTAAGAAACAAGTGTAAAAACCTTTTAAAAATTTTGTATAAATTGTTATTTTCCCTTAATCACTATCCCAAATTATTGTTAAATAAATTATATGGCTATTGCCATTAACTTTATTAGCAATAACTTTCTACATAAACTAGAAATTGACTTACATCCACAGCCACCATCTACATCTCCTTTAACATTATCTTAGTGACTTTTTTTCTCCACATAGAAAACTTCAATAAATTTCCATAAATTTTAATTCATATATTATTCATTCCAAAAGCATAAGAGTTGGAGGCAATCTTAAATAAGTGCATGGTTATCTGTTACAAAGAATGTCTCTGAAAAAGTTCAACAAATAGTTTACATTCAAACTTACTCAGAGGAGGCAATCTGAAATAAGTGCATGGTTATCTGTTACAAAGAATATCTCTGAAAAAAATTCAAAAAATAGTTCACGTTCAAACTTACTGAGAGAGATATTTACTCATCTATATGAATTGAAATGTACTCTTTTTAAAGGTTTGGAGCTTAATTCTTCAATAAAGTGCTTTTGGCCCAATTGCAATATTTCCGAATGCAGGGGATATCTCAAAGCACTTGCCCATCCAGAACAGTATATTAGGAAGAATATTTTTTGGAGGCCTAGTGCTCCTTTTAGTTATTACACTAATATTGACACCCCATTTGACTGTTTTGCACAAAGTATTTTCCCATATCTACCAAGATGTCCTGACAGCTAAGAATTATTTGCCCCCTCTCCAATATAATCTCCGATTTCGATTTTTTGGGGTATTCATTATTAATTAACAACTAACTGTGGGAAAACTCTATCAACCAAAAAGTATGTTTATGATACGCTGTTGCTTGTAATGAGGTGCAAAGGGTACCATGATTTCCTAACTATATTTCTTGGAATTAGCACTTGCTTGGCAAGTGCTCCTTCTGGGACTGGATTCCTAGACACTCTCTGAGCACTTAAAGAACCAATTTTCCTGCTCCTGCATGGCTGAAGGCATCTGATATTTTCACATCCAAAATATAAACACTTTTATTGAGATTAAATTGAGATTCTAATTCCAAGGCATATAGCTATGGAAGATAGTGGCCTAGAAGTGTGCTTGAATGCAACAGCTACAATGTCCACTCTTATTATTCTTATCCTGCAAGCCTATCTATCATCTTGGGTTGAAATCATACCAAAGATATTAGTCTTAGACATAACTCAAGGATACAAACATGGAATAATTAGGAAATTTGTAGACAATAATCATGAGGTGTTAGGACCTTAGGGAATTATTCCAACTTCTTTTCCTCTTGCTGTAGTATTCAGAAACAATGTAGAAAGGTTGTAGGGATGGTACTAATTACACTTCTAGCTAATGCTGAATCACCAGGGAAATCAGATGCTTTGGTGGAAGGAATTAAAACACAGAGTAAAAACAAAATTGACCTAGTGATAGAGGGCTCATATCAACACAATCAGATAAATGTGGCTAACTTCAGGATTTATTTAGTAAGCAAAAGGCCAGTGCAAATTGAAGAAGATTAAAAGTAGCTCTCACATCCAACTAGAGTGTGTTTCTTATGAGTAGAAGACACAAAATGATGAGTTTTAAACCCACATGTGAATATTTTAACTATTGTCTCTCTGTCTTACAGAGCTGAATGCTGCATTTATTCAACCACTTATCTATTATTTTTAGACATATTCATTGAAACCTACTAAAGGTCATACCTTGTGATAAATCTTGAGAAGCAAATGGATAAGAGGCCATAATCAAGTGTTTATGTCAAAAATGGGTGCATGCTTACAATATAGGATGATAATTACCATAATTGAGATAAGAATAAGATACTGGGAGACCTGAGGGAGGAATGGAGCCATCTCTTTCTTGGGAAGTTAAGAATACTTCCACAGCTGAGGAGATGAATGAGCTGTGTTTTACCAGATGTGTATGAGTATTCTCTATGGAGAGAAATTGACAGAAGCATAGAATTAGAAGTTTTATGTAATTTTTGTATAATACATGTGATAGGATATACAAGAGATGAGATAAAACCTTGGGATTTAAAGTCCTTACATGTTACTTACCTCTGATAAAAAGACCAGTTATTAAAATATATAATAAAATATGCAATTAAATAGGATAATAATCAATGTTACCAACATTTCATAGAAAATCAAACACAAATAAATATATTGAAATGTACTAAATCTTAAGTGTAATTAATAATTGCAAATTCTGGATGGTCATTTAAATATATCTTAAAATTAAAATTTTTAAGTTTTTTTTGTTTTTTTTTTTTGTAAATATTAACTGCTCAGAGAGGATTCCCTTGATGCAATTGCTGGTAGAATGCCCCATCCTTTTATCCATTTAAACTGCTTTGGCTTTTTTAGAGTATTTATCTAGAAGTCATCACTAGTTCCCCATTCTATTTTATTGTGTTTTCAAAATTGTCTTTCTGCTCCCAGAAGCTCCATGAGAACTTTCGTGTTTTATTCATTATAGTCTAACTGCCAGAATGGTGCCTGGCAAATTATAAGCATTCCAAAAGTGTTTGCTGGATGAATAAGACAGAAATTGTGACATGACACATTTTACTCATAAAATTGACTACGATTAAAAAGTATAATAATGTCAACTGTTGAAGTGAAATATGTACTGTCCTCAATTAATGAGGGTTTAAGTTGAAATATCTGGTTTGAGTTGAATTTTACCATGTCTGTCAAAATTAAAATCTACAACCCCCTTAAAAAATTTCTTTAGATATATGTGTACAAATTATAAAAATATGTGCAAATTTAGGTAGCCTTAAAGTATTAAAATACGGCTAAAATATCAATCAATATAGGATAAGAAACATAAATTAGAGTATATCTTTAAAGAAAAGAATAGTGGGAAACCATTACACATAAGATATATAAAAATAAAACTTGGCTGGTCACAGTGGCTCACGCCTATAATCCCAGCACTTTGGGAGACCAAGGCCGGCAGATCACCTGAGGTCGGGAGTTTGAGATCAGCCTGGCTAACGTTGTGAAACCCCGTCTCTACTAAATACACAAAATTAGCTGGGTGTGGTGGCACATGCCTGTAATCCCAGTTGCTCGGGAGGCTGAGGCAGGAGAATCGCTTGAACCTAGGAGGTGGAGGTTGCAGTGAGCCAGGATCATGCCACTGCACTCCAGCCTGGGTGATAGGGTGAGACTCTGTCTCCAAAAAAAAAATAAAATCAAAATAAATAAAACTTATAGATAGTAATACTAATAAAAATTAAGGCTGGCCACAGGGGCTCACGTCTGTAATCCCAGCACTTTGGGGAGGCCAAGGTCTGCAGATCAGGAGGTCAGGAGTTCGAGACCAGCCTGTCCAACATGGTGAAACCCCATCACTACTAAAAATACAAAAATTAGCTGGTTGTGGCGGCGCGTGCCTGTAATCCAACTACTCAGGAGGCTGGGGTAGGAGAATCACTTCAACCTGGGAGGCAGAGGTTGCAGTGAGCCATGATTGTGCCACTGCACTCCAGCCTGGGAGACAGAGTGAGACTCCATCTCAAAATAAATAAAATAAAAAAATACAATACAATACAATACAATACAATACAATACAATACAATACAATACAATACAATACAATACAATAAAAAAATAAAATAAAGTAAAAATAATAAAATAAAATAATAAAATAAAATAAATAAAATATAAATAAAATATAATAAAATAAAATAAAATAAAAAATGGTAAAATAGTATGTATTGTGTAATATCATGGAAAAATTTAACATGTTATATAACTGCTACTTTACAATGGTTATGTTTCAGAACTAAAGCAGTTTCCTTTTGGGTAAGTGATGTGCCCACTTGTATTATATCTCAGATAGATCTCATAAATTTGACATAGGAACCCAACCTGGGAGCAACCTTGGCAGTCTAAGCTTCACTACTCTTCATCTGTGTTTTAGGATTACTGTTAGTATTTAAATTATTTGGAAAGCTTTATATTAGGTAAGATCTCTGATTCTAACAGTCTGATTTGAAAATCTTACCTTTTCAGTAACCTCATATGCATATCCACGTACACATACCTATGCTGTGTGTGTGTGTGAATGCGTGTGTTTGTGTTTAAAATATCTTTAAAAGTATACATGTAAAACTCTTAAAAGGAATTACCTCTAAGGAGTTTAACTAGGAATATCAATTATGAGGGAAAATGTTCTTTTCTGTTATTTTTTTTTCTTTTCTTTTTATTTATTTATTTAGAGACAAGGTCTTGCTGGGCAGGCTGGATTGCAGTGGCATAATCATGGGTCACTGTAGCCTCAAACCCTGGGCTCAAGCGATCCTCCCACCTTAGCCTCCAGAATAACTGGGACTACATACATGTGTGTGCCACTATGCACAGCTAATTTGTTTGTTTGTTTGTTTTTTGTTTTGGAGAGAAGGAGTCTCACTGGTTATTCAGGCTGGTATTTAACTCCTGGCCTTAAGCAATCCTTCCACCTTAGCCTCCCAACATGCTGGGATTCACAGGTGTGAACCATGGTGCCCAGACAGAACTTTTCTGTAGCATTTACTTCTACATTTTACCTGTTTAAATGGGCTTGAATTGAATTAGTAGAAATAATAACAATAAGAACAAAACTAAAAACAATTATATCTGCAAGTGTTTACAATGTAACATAAAGTAAAAATTTTTAAACACTGCAATTAAATTTACATTTTAGAAAAAAATTTGGAACCGATGATCATGGACTAGACTAGGTGAGAGCATGGGAACATCAGCACTATTGTAAGGTGGTCCAATAATACAGATGTGACATTAGAAGGAATAGAAATACAAGTTAAGCACTAATAAGAGATACACAAGAAATAGACTTACTGAGTTAGAAAAGAAAGATTCTAGTTGATTGGATATAAAGAATGAGAATAAGAAAAATACTACAAATATGTACTAACACTTTAGATTGAGAGACAAAAATAGTTTAGCAGTTCCGCAAAATGCGGGATTCAGCATAACCCTGGCAGTTGGCTGAGGAAGAGGGACACTTCCTGGAAATAGAATTAGAACCCAACAATATTAGTTCCAAGTTGGATTCACTGGGCAAAAAAGATACAGTCAAACTGATTGCATTTGGAGGATTTTCTATGAGAAGAGCAGAGGTAATTAAAATTACGTAAATGCTAGGGTAAATTAAAGCAAGAGACATTGAACTGCTATTTCTTGATTAAGCAAAGTTTTTCCTTGAATGGCCTCCTTTGGGTGCTCAATTTTGATTCTTTTTTTTACTACTACTATTTACGATAACTTTAAATGATTATATTTATGGTCAGTAATTTCATACATTTTCTATTATTTGCTGTATACAAGTTTATAACGTTACTTTTATTATTGTTAACATGGTGACATATAAATGGAAAATTAAAGTTCCACAAGAATATTATGTGGCCAATTTAACAAAATCATTGAGTGATTGAGCTAGAATTTGAGCTTAGTCAGTCTAAATCATTATCTCACACTCTTAAGCATTATACTCATGATAACTTTGAAATTCAGGGATATTTTACATTGCTCTCAGAGGACATTGGAACATTTAAATCATCTTCATGTAAGGATAAGCCACTTGTGAATATTTAAGAACTGGCTTAAGAATCAGGACTCTTTTGGAATTGCATTCAGATCCAAATTCAAAATACTGAAACAGTAAAGTGGATGATATCGTTATAGTTCCCAAATTTTATTCTTATTTTCTTTCATTTAAGGTTTAGAATCTTCCACGAAACCTAAAGTTAGCAAAGAGCTGTGGGGAGGAGAATGTAACAAGTCGTAAAATAATTAAGTGGGGAGGTAGAATGGGAAATGATACTAATAGGGTTTTGTATTAGTCTGTTTTCACACTGCTGATAAGGAGTGAGACTGGGAAATTTACAAGGAAAGAGGTTTAATGGAGAACTCACAGTTCCACGTGGCTGGCAAAGCCTCACAATCATGGCGGAAGGCAAGGAAGAGCAAGTCACATCTTACCCAGATGGCGGCAGGCAAAGAGCGCTTGTTTAGAGAAACTACTGTTTCTAAAACCATCAGACCTCGTGAGACTTATCCACCATCACAAGAACAGCACAAGAAAGAACTTCCCCCATGATGCAACCACCTCCCACCACCTCCCTCCCACAACACATGGGAATTCAAGATGAGATTTGGGTGGGGACACAGCCAAACCATATCAGGTTTATATGAATTATACAATTTACAGTAATAAGGAGAATTCTAGGTTGTTCTTGCTAATGAGAGAAATAGGGGATTTCATTATTTTTGTCAATATACCTCTTTCTGAGCTAGTATGGGAATATGCTGATACTTTGTCTTGATTTGATCTCATTGTTCCAAAATCAGTTCACATTTTCTACCCTGGCACTCGTGGGTTTATTTTATTCTGTCTCATGTTCATTATTCTAGAATTGCCTTAGTTTTGAATTCATTGATAAGTAACCTGAAGTATGAATAAGGTGACCAAACTTTCCGGAAGCTTTGCTTTCTTTTCTTTTTTTTTTTTTTTGAGATGGAGTCTCCCACTGTCGCCCAGGCTGGAGTGCAGTGGCATGGTCTCGGCTCACAGCAAGCTCTGCCTCCCGGGTTCACGCCATTCTCCTGCCTCAGCCTCCTGAGTAGCTGGGACTACAGGCGCCCGCCGCTGTGCCCGGCTAATTTTTTTGTATTTTTAGTAGAGACGGGGTTTCACCGTGTTAGCCAGGATGGTCTCCATCTCCTGACCTCGTAATCCGCCCGCCTCGGCCTCCCAAAGTGCTGGGATTATAGGCATGAGCCACAGCGCCCAGCCGAGAAGCTTTTCTTAAATAAAGAAAAGCTTTTCTCAATCTCAATCAGAGATTACTGATTAAGGAAGATATTCACACAGGAAGTGAGAAGTCTGTAAATGTAGTAAAGTTATTAGATCTTTGAATCAAGTTAAAATACCTGGCTCTGTACTAACAACTCAGAAAAGTTAATTTTCCATTTACAGTATAGCAAAGAAAAGTGGCTTTATATTCAATGTGTGTTTTGTTCTATGTAACATTAATTTAATTAGATTATGGCCCTTCAGTTAAGTCTTCCTTTTTGAGTTTAATAGAAATGAACATAAATTTTTACAATACCTCTTGTGATAGGGCTTAAAATATTGGCAGATATATTTTTAAATGGATTCAGTGGTTAACTTAAGATTACAAAATAGAACAAAGCCATTTGATCTCCAGCAATTTTAATTTATACATTTGCTTCAGAAACCATCTGAGTTAAATAACTTAGCAACATACTGGATCATGGGTGCCTTAAGACCTCAGCATGACATGACTACAATGTCTAAATATTCATAATGGAATGATATAAATTTTTAGAAATAGACTGCAGGCTATTTTGATGGCTAACGATAAACCTCATCAGCAAAATTTTATCATGTATTTTATTCATTCAGAGTTATGAGTTGAGTCAAAATACAGAAGAGCGCATGACATCATCTCAGAATGAAAGGTTATGTTTTATTTAGAAAAGCCCCAATGAACTCAAATGTGATGGTGTCATAACTGAAAGAAAATTACCCTATTAGAGTGATTTATGATAATTATAGCAATTAAATTGTTTTTAAATGAGGCGTTTGGGGGTTCACATTCAGTGTCTTTTCTAATTTTAGAGACTTTTGATGTGGAAAATCAATGTAGTAAGTGAAGAAATGAAATTTACTACATATAGTTAATCTTGTATCTCAAGTTTCTGATGTATATACAAATCTGGGAGTGGCAATTATATATAAGATTGGAATATTTTCAGATTTCATAAGAAGCTATGTCAAAAATAAGGTAATTATTGTGTGTTTTGTTTGTTTTGTTTTGGAGATGTAATCTTGCTCTGTTGCCCAGGCTGGAGTGCAGTGGCACGATCACAGCTCACTGCAGCCTCCATCTCCTGGACTCAAGCAACCCTCCCACCTCAACCTCCCGAATAGCTGGGACAAGAAGTGTGCACCACCATGATCAGCTAATTTTTGGATTTTTAGTGGTCAGGGTTTCGCCATGTTGCCCAGGCTGGCCTACAACTCCTGGGCTAAGGCAATCCACCCGCCTCTGCCTCCTAAAGTGGTGGGATTACAGATGACCCACTGTCCCTGGCAATAAGGATTGTTTTATTCAATAATATTTATGAGTCAAATAATTATATGCATGAAAATTTTCTGTTTTCTTTGCCTGATTTCAAAGATTGGAAATATTGACTAATCTCAACTGACAAAAAAAGAGATAGAGAATGGCATGCTATTTTTTGAAAAAAAAAAAAAAAAACAACATTTTATGACAATCAGGTAAAATTTTAAAAAGGGTGTATAATTTCCCTAGCTATGTCTATCTGTCTATCTATTAGATAGGTGTATGTGTGTTTTTGTGTCTGTGTGGGTATATGTATGTGTGTGTCTGTGTGGGTGTATTTTTTTCCCATGTCTGTCTATCTCTATGTGTATAGATAACTAAATCTATATACACAAATGCACACACACACACACACACATATATATATATATATATATAAACTGGGAAAATAATACACCCACACATACACACAGACATGCACACACACATACACACATATATACACCTAGGTATGTGTGTATATCATTGAAAGATCTGTGAATCTGAGCTATTTTAATAAGATTAACATAGAAAAGCAATTTTTATTAACATAATATTTTAGAAAAGTAGAGGCACTTTTTGAAATGGTTTAATATAGTTTTTGGGAAAAACACAGAAGTTTGAATCTGAGATTTGAAATTAATTTATTTTTAAAATAATAATTCTGTTGATGTTGATGGAAAATAAATAAATAGTACTAACTGAAATGAGCATTGGACATAATGGCACAACTATTAGCTTCTTACTTAAATTTTACTTATGAAAAAATATATAATTATTCTTCATTGGAGAAGGTTATTATGTTTCTTATAGAAAGTAGAAAAAAACAATAAACTAAACAGGTAAGTAAACAAAATTTCTGACTTTAACTTAATCAGTTGCTCAAAATTTTACCATATTTTAACTTGTTATATAATTGGACAATCTTTCTTTGTATTTTCATATCGTAATTACGTTTCTCCCTTGGAGTGACTATGCGCATGTATGTACATGTTCATTTTTGTCTATTTCTTTTTCATATTTAAAGAAAAAACCCTTTCTTGACATCCCATTTCCTCCCCACTCCATTTCACTCTAAGTAGAGGGTTTATTTGGATTGGTCAAATACAAAGACATTTCACAGGGCCATCAGCTATGATAGATAAAGTGTTCAATGCTGCACACATCAAGGTACCTTTGACCATAGTCCTATTCTTCCTGATACTCTCCCAACTGCACAGTGAGTCACTTCTCACAACTGTAGCCTTAGAAATCTTTTTTTCTGGCATTTAAGTAAACTTTTACATGCGCATTGTTCAGCTCTTTACTTGAGGTAGTTCTCTGATTTGACTTATCCCTCAAAGTATACAGGTAAAATCTGAATCTGGTCAGCAAAGTTGCCTAGGCCATGCAAGGGGAAGTTACCTTGCAATGCAGCTGCACTCCTCTAAGTTCTAGGCTAATGTCAGGGACAAATAACATGTGTTTTCTTGAATTTCCCTTGAGAATATTAAGAAGAAGGGAATAAATAGGAGATTATCAAATTTAGGGCAAATAATATCTTCATTTGTTCAACAGCCAACAAATATCCTTCTGGAATTTATTTTGCAAATTATAAAATACTTTGTCCATATGAAATACATTTAGCTATCATTCTAGCCACCATAGCAATTTGTATCTGTATTGCAAAAATAATTTTCCATTTTGATTCATTATTTTCTGACACAAAACATTATTGGTAAAATAGTCTAGATATTTATGTCAGAGAAAATAAAAGAAAAATTATATATATGTATATGTGTGTATATTTATATATATTCTATTAATAAAGTGAGCTCTAATAAGTGCAAAACTAAAAGGACTATCACATTGAAAGAAATGTGAATCTAAGAAAACACAATAAAATGAAAAAAGAAAGTAGAATAATGCAGAATTATTACAAAATTCTCTGTTAATTATATTTCTACTAGGACAGTTCACCTTACTTCAATATTTTTTATTTCTCTACTTACATTGGAAAATCAAGAACCCTGGATATTTGATTTAAGGAATTCAAGTACTAAATTACATAGGAAGTAGAAATAAAATTGTCTCTGAAATAAAATAAATCACCATCCAATATTATAAAATCTTTTCTTTCCTCTTATTGACAGTGCTACAGTTTTCCAAGACTAACACCAATCCTTTTAATCAGAAGAAAATAAAATTTGTGTCTATATATGAATGTATGTTTGCTTGCTTGTGGGATATTTGTTGCTGTCTGTAAAATAAAAGGGTCATTTGCCTTGAATAAAGAAAATAGATTAAAAAAATCATCAGAAAATGCAAATCTGAACCATGAAATAAAACCTCACACTTGATAAAATGGATATATATTACTTATATAATATATATTGTTTATTTTATAATTACATTACATAAATATGTAATAAATATATTTATTAATAATAAATATATATTATGTGATATGGTTATTTATGATATATAATTATATATTATATATAATATGTTATATATTTTTCTTCAAAAATTTAAAAATAAAACCACCATATGTCTAGCATTTTCACTTACAATTATATATCCAAAAGAATTGAAACAATTCAATTAGGATCTTGAAACAATGTCTGCACTCCCATGTTTATTGTAGCATTAGCATTATTCATAATAGCCAAGGTATGGAAACAACCCAACAATAGACAAATGGATCTTTAAAATGTAGTGTGTGTGCCTGTGTGTATTATTGGCAGATGTATATTTAAGTATATTCAGTCGTTAACTTAAGCTTACAAAATAGGTCAAAGCCGTTCAATCTCCAGCAATTTTAATTTATACATTTGCTTTAGAAACCATCTGAGTTAAATAACTTACCTATAGACTCTGAATCATGGGTGCCTTAAGTCCTAAGCATAACATGACTACAATGTCTATAGTTCTATATATAGAGAGAACTATTATTCAGCCTTAAAAAAGAAAGACTATATATACATATATATAGATATAGATATATATAAAATGAACTATTATCAGCCTTAAAAAAAGAAAGAAGACATTATGCTATGTGAAGTAAGTTAATCACAGAGGGACAAATAGTACATGATTCCACATGTATGAAAGTATTTAAAGTAGAATTATAGAGGCGAAAAATAGAATTGTGATTGTCATGGCATGGGGTGAGGGGAAATGGGGATTTTCGCTGGGTATACTTACAGTTATACAAGTGGAGTAAATTCAGAGATCTGCTACATATATAGCGCCTGTACTTAACAATAAAGCATTGTGCATTTAAAATTTTAAGAAGGTAGATCTATGTTATGTGTTCCTAGCACACACAAAAATATAAAAGCAAAGAGACACAAGAAAATGTCTTGATGTGAAGGGTATGTTTATTATATTAATTGTGGTGATGGTATCACAGCTATATACATAAGTACAAAACCATCACATTTTATACATTAAATATATGAAGTTATTTATATATTAGTTGGATTTCTATAAAGCTAAACTATATAAAATAAATATTTAAAAAACAACAAGTTAGTAAGGATTTTAGTACAAGCCAAGATGGAGTCATTCCACTTCAAGTTTTCTTTCTGACTGGCCCCAGTTAAAATCTGCCAACAGATTACAAGTATAAACTCCCAAAGGACTCTGAAAAATAAATAATAACAAGTGATTGATGAGTGAAAAAAGTCAAAACTTGAAGAAATACCCATGTAGTGATGATGAGATTTTTCCTGTCCTCCTCCTTTTACCCAAGGCTTGACTCAAGTGAGTAGAATCAGGGAATTGAATAACAGAAATAGACATTAAAATCTAAGAATAGTCTACTTTTCTGGCCTGAGAACTGGGAAAGGAAAATCTGTGAGCCCAAGAATGTAAATAGAGTGATCACCTATTTGGTGTTTTCTCTTTTCTATGTTATTACCATGTTCTTGCCCACATTACACAAAACACAAAATCCCTACTGTCATGGGAGTAGGGAGCAGGGCACAAAGAACTCTAAAAGAACTTATTTCAATGGATGAATAGGACAAAAACCAAACAAAACAAAAAACAAACAAAAAAAATCTGTTAAGAGAAGCCTGATCTTTATTCTCCTTTTTTTTTTTCTGTAGCCACATTAGCCCAGTGCCAACCATTATACAGTTGTGTGTGAAGCTAACATTCTGAAAGAACCCTATCACATTACTGAGAGAAACCAGGAAAAGGGTCTCTGGGGGCAGAGAGAAAATTGCTAAAGATGTCAATCTCCTAACTCTGTGTATGGCCCAATACCATCTCTCTAAGCACTGAATGTGTAGTATACACTCAAAAGATTCTATTAAAATCTTTGATAATTAAATTACAACATAAACAACATACCCAAGTTTAAGAATGTACCTGAACTGGCAAATAGGACGGACTCAAAGATCATAAAAAAGGATTTCAAGCAGATTTGACATTTTAATCCATCACCCACAATAGATAACACACAATTTATAGCATGAAGTTTACTAGATTTTTTTTGGTAAAACAAAGAAAAAGAAATTAACAATTCTACAGAGAATTTTAACAGAAGCAGAATTTCAAAACATTATGTTAATTTAATTTTAACATTACTATGATAATTTCAAATTATCCAGCATATAGTACAAAAATTACAACTAGGAAATCTGACCAATTCATAAGGGAACAGACAATTAATAGCTGCCAACCCAAAGATGACCCATATGTTGGAATTATTAAGCAAAGACGTTAAAAAAGTCATTATCATCATCCTCCAAAAGACGAAAATAAACACTGTTGAAATGAAAGATAAAAGTTATCATCAGAGAAATAGAAACTAATTACCTAGATAAGATAAATGATTATTTTCCACAAAAGTCATTTAAAATATATATGCCAATATTTTAACATTATCTTGTAATATAAATAGATGTAATATGTATGAAACTGAAACATAGAGGATCAAGGAATCTACATACTGTAGTTGTAAAGCTTCCATGTTTTACTTGAGGTGGTAAAACCTCAAGTAAAACAGTTTCAATAGTTTAAATAGGATGTGAAAAGTTAAGACAACTAAAAAGTTATATTAAAAAACTAAAATCCAATAAATAAAATAGGATGTTAAATATGTTCAAATAATCTTCAGGGAGGTAGGAAATTGAAAATAGAGTAATAAAAAGCAAACAAAAGAAAATAATTGATAGACTTAAATCTCACCATATTATAACTATATTCTGTGTAAGTTATCTAAACACATGAATTAAAAAAGCAAGATAAACCTCTTTATGAGCTTATATAAAACTCATTTTAAATAACATGATATAGAAAATTAGTAAAAGGATGGAAAAATATACAATCATTAATTTAAAAATATTCATTGCTCTTTTTTTATTTTTTTTAATTAATTTATTATTATTATACTTTAAGTTTTAGGGTGCATGTGCACAATGTGCAGGTTAGTGACATATGTATACATGTGCCATGCTGGTGCGCTGCATGCACTAACTCCTCATCTAGCATTAGGTATATCTGCCAATGCTATCCGTCCCCCCTCCCCCCACCCCACAACAGTCCCCCAGTGTGATGTTCCCCTTCCTGTGTCCATGTGTTCTCATTGTTCAATTCCCACCTATGAGTGAGAATATGCGGTGTTTGGTTTTTTGTTCTTGCGATAGTTTACTGAGAATGATGATTTCCAATTTCATCCATGTCCCTACAAAGGACATGAACTCATCATTTTTTATGGCTGCATAGTATTCCATGGTGTATATGTGCCACATTTTCTTAATCCAGTCTATCATTGTTGTACATTTGGGTTGGTTCCAAGTCTTTGCTATTGTGAATAGTGCCACAATAAACATATGTGTGCATGTGTCTTTATAGCAGCATGATTTATAGTCCTTTGGGTATATACCCAGTAATGGGATGGCTGGCTCAAATGGTATTTCTAATTCTAGATCCCTGAGGAATTGCCACACTGACTTCCACAATGGTTGAACTAGTTTACAGTCCCACCAACAGTGTAAAAGTGTTCCTATTTCTCCACATCCTCTCCAGCACCTGTTGTTTCCTGACTTTTTAATTGCCATTCTAACTGGTGTGATATGGTATCTCATTGTGGTTTTGATTTGCATTTCTCTGATGGCCAGTGTTGATGAGCATTTTTTCATGTGTTTTTTGGCTGCATAAATGTCTTCTTTTGAGAAGTGTCTGTTCATGTCCTTTGCCCACTTTTTGATGGGGTTGTTTTTTTCTGGTAAATTTGTTTGAGTTCATTGTAGATTCTGGATATTAGCCCTTTGTCAGATGAGTAGGTTGTGAAAATTTTCTCCCATTTTGTAGGTTGCCTGTTCACTCTGAGGGTAGTTTCTTTTGCTGTGCAG
Source organism: Homo sapiens (assembly GCF_000001405.40). NCBI lineage: Eukaryota > Metazoa > Chordata > Mammalia > Primates > Hominidae > Homo > Homo sapiens. Next base: position 83,352,511 of record NC_000002.12, on the reverse strand, counting down.
AAGCTCTTGAGTTTAATTAGATCCCATTTGTCAATTTTGGCTTTTGTTGCCATTGCTTTTGGTGTTTTAGACATGAAGTCCTTGCCCATGCCTATGTCCTGAATGGTGATGCCTAGGTTTTCTTCTAGAGTTTTTATGGTTTTAGGTCTAACGTTTAAGTCTTTAATCCATCTTGAATTGATTTTTGTATAAGGTGTAAGGAAGGGATCCAGTTTCAGCTTTCTACATATGGCTAGCCAGTTTTCCCAGCACCATTTATTAAATAGGGAATCCTTTCCCCATTGCTTGTTTTTGTCAGGTTTGTCAAAGATCAGATAGTTGTAGATAGGCGGCGTTATTTCTGAGGGCTCTGTTCCGTTCCATTGATCTATATCTCCGTTTTGGTACCAGTACCATGCTGTTTTGGTTACTGTAGCCTTGTAGTATAGTTTGAAGTCAGGTAGCGTGATGCCTCCAGCTTTGTTCTTTTGGCTCAGGATTGACTTGGCGATGCGGGCTCTTTTTTGGTTCCATATGAACTTTAAAGTAGTTTTTTCTAATTCTGTGAAGAAAGTCATTGGTAGCTTGATGGGGATGGCATTGAATCTGTAAGTTACCTTGGGCAGTATGGCCATTTTCACGATACTGATTCTTCCTACCCATGAGCATGGAATGTTCTTCCATTTGTTTGTATCCTCTTTTATTTCCTTGAGCAGTGGTTTGTAGTTCTCCTTGAAGAGGTCCTTCACATCCCTTGTAAGTTGGATTCCTAGGTATTTTATTCTCTTTGAAGCAATTGTGAATGGGAGTTCACTCATGATTTGGCTCTCTGTTTGTCTGTTGTTGGCGTATAAGAATGCTCGTGATTTTTATACATTGATTTTGTATCCTGAGACTTTGCTGAAGTTGCTTATCAGCTTAAGGAGATTTTGGGCTGAGACGATGGGGTTTTCTAGATATACAGTCATGTCGTCTGCAAACAGGGACAATTTGACTTCCTCTTTTCCTAAATGAATACCCTTTATTTCCTTCTCCTGCCTGATTGCCCTGGCCAGAACTTCCAACACTATGTTGAATAGGAGTGGTGAGAGAGGGCATCCCTGTCTTGTGCCAGTTTCCAAAGGGAATGCTTCTAGTTTTTGCCCAGTCAGTATGATATTGGCTGTGGGTTTGTCATAGATAGCTCTTATTATTCTGAGATACGTCCCATCAATACCTAATTTATTGAGAGTTTTTAGCATGAAGGGTTGTTGAATTTTGTCAAAGGCCTTTTCTGCATCTATTGAGATAATCATGTGGTTTTTGTCTTTGGTTCTGTTTATATGCTGGATTACATTTATTGATTTGCATATATTGAACCAGCCTTGCATCCCAGGGATGAAGCCCACTTGATCATGGTGGATAAGTTTTTGATGTGCTGCTGGATTCGGTTTGCCAGTATTTTATTGAGGATTTTTGCATCAGTGTTCATCAAGAATATTGGTCTAAAATTCCCTTTTTTGGTTGTGTCTCTGCCCGGCTTTGGTAGCAGGATGATGCTGGCCTCATAAAATGAGTTAGGGAGGATTCCCTCTTTTTCTATTGATTGGAATAGTTTCAGAAGGAATGATACTAGTTCCTCCTTGTACCTCTGGTAGAATTCGGCTGTGAATCCATCTGGTCCTGGACTCTTTTTGGTTGGTAAGCTATTGATTATTGCCACAATTTCAGATCCTGTTATTGGTCTATTCAGAGATTCAACTTCTTCCTGGTTTAGTCTTGGGAGAGTGTATGTGTTGAGGAATTTATCCATTTCTTCTAGATTTTCCAGTTTATTTGCGTAGAGGTGTTTGTTGTATTCTCTGATGGTAGTTTGTATTTCTGTGGGATCGGTGGTGATATCCCCTTTATCATTTTTTATTGCGTCTATTTGATTCTTCTCTTTTTTTCTTTATTAGTCTTGCTAGCAGTCTATCAATTTTGTTGATCCTTTCAAGAAACCAGCTCCTGGATTCATTAATTTTTTGAATGGTTTTTTGTGTCTCTATTTCCTTCAGTTCTGCTCTGATTTTAGTGATTTCTTGCCTTCTGCTAGCTTTTGAATGTGTTTGCTCTTGCTTTTCTAGTTCTTTTAATTGTGATGTTAGGGTGTCAATTTTGGATCTTTCCTGCTTTCTCTTGTGGGCATTTAGTGCTATAAATTTCCCTCTACACACTGCTTTGAATGCGTCCCAGAGATTCTGGTATGTTGTGTCTTTGTTCTCATTGGTTTCAAAGAACATCTTTATTTCTGCCTTCATTTCGTTATGTACCTCGTAGTCATTCAGAAGCAGGTTGTTCAGTTTCCATGTAGTTGAGCAGTTTTGAGTGAGATTCTTAATCCTGAGTTCTAGTTTGATTGCACTGTGGTCTGAGAGATAGTTTGTTATAATTTCTGTTCTTTTACATTTGCTGAGGAGAGCTTTACTTCCAAGTATGTGGTCAATTTTGGAACAGGTGTGGTGTGGTGCTGAGAAAAATGTATATTCTGTTGATTTGGGGTGGAGAGTTCTGTAGATGTCTATTAGGTCTGCTTGGTGCAGAGCTGAGTTCAATTCCTGGGTATCCCTGTGAACTTTCTGTCTCGTTGATCTGTCTAATGTTGACAGTGGGGTTTTAAAGTCTCCCATTATTAATGTGTGGGAGTCTAAGTCCCTTTGTAGGTCACTCAGGACTTCCTTTATGAATCTGGGTGCTACTGTATTGGGTGCATATATATTTAGGATAGTTAGCTCTTCTTGTTGAATTGATCCCTTTACCATTATGTAATGGCCTTCTTTGTCTCTTTTGATCTTTGTTGGTTTAAAGTCTGTTTTATCAGAGACTAGGATTGCAACCCCTGCCTTTTTTTGTTTTCCATTTGCTTGGTAGATCTTCCTCCATCCTTTTATTTTGAGCCTATGTGTGTCTCTGCACGTGAGATGGGTTTCCTGAATACAGCACGCTGATGGGTCTTGACTCTTTATCCAATTTGCCAGTCTATGTCTTTTAATTGGAGCATTTAGTCCATTTACATTTAAAGTTAATATTGTTATGTGTGAATTTGATCCTGTCATTATGATGTTAGCTGGTGATTTTGCTCGTTAGTTGATGCAGTTTCTTCCTAGTCTCGATGGTCTTTACATTTTGGCATGATTTTGCAGCGGCTGGTACTGGTTGTTCCTTTCCATGTTTAGCGCTTCCTTTAGGAGCTCTTTTAGGGCAGGCCTGGTGGTGACAAAATCTCTCAGCATTTGCTTGTCTGTAAAGTATTTAATTTCTCATTCACTTATGAAGCTTAGTTTGGCTGGATATGAAATTCTGGGTTGAAAATTCTTTTCTTTAAGAATGTTGAATATTGGCCCCCACTCTCTTCTGGCTTGTAGGGTTTCTGCCGAGAGATCCGCTGTTAGTCTGATGGGCTTCCCTTTGAGGGTAACCCGACCTTTCTCTCTGGCTGCCCTTAACATTTTTTCCTTCATTTCAACTTTGGTGAATCTGACAATTATGTGCCTTGGAGTTGCTCTTCTCGAGGAGTATCTTTGTGGTATTCTCTGTATTTCCTGAATCTGAATGTTGGCCTGCCTTGCTAGATTGGGGAAGTTCTCCTGGATAATATCCTGCAGTGTTTTCCAACTTGGTTCCATTCTCCCCGTCACTTTCAGGTACACCAATCAGACGTAGATTTGGTCTTTTCACATAGTCCCATATTTCTTGGAGTCTTTGCTCGTTTCTTTTTATTCTTTTTTCTCTAAACTTCCCTTCTCGCTTCATTTCATTCATTTCATCTTCCATTGCTGATACCCTTTCTTCCAGTTGATCGCATCGGCTCCTGAGGCTTCTGCATTCTTCACGTAGTTCTCGAGCCTTGGTTTTCAGCTCCATCAGCTCCTTTAAGCACTTCTCTGTATTGGTTATTCTAGTTATACATTCTTCTAAATTTTTTTCAAAGTTTTCAACTTCTTCGCCTTTGGTTTGAATGTCCTCCCGTAGCTCGGAGTAATTTGATCGTCTGAAGCCTTCTTCTCTCAGCTCATCAAAGTCATTCTCCATCCAGCTTTGTTCTGTTGCTGGTGAGGAACTGCATTCCTTTGGAGGAGGAGAGGCGCTCTGCTTTTTAGAGTTTCCAGTTTTTCTGTTCTGTTTTTTTCCCCATCTTTGTGGTTTTATCTACTTTTGGTCTTTGATCATGGTGATGTACAGATGGGTTTTTGGTGCGGATGTCCTTTCTGTTTGTTAGTTTTCCTTCTAACGACAGGACCCTCAGCTGCAGGTCTGTTGGAGTACCCGGCCGTGTGAGGTGTCAGTCTGCCCCTGCTGGGGGGTGTCTCCCAGTTAGGCTGCTCGGGGGTCAGGGGTCAGGGACCCACTTGAGGAGGCAGTCTGCCCATTCTCAGATCTCTAGCTGCGTGCTGGGAGAACCACTGCTCTCTTCAAAGCTGTCAGACAGGGACATTTAAGTCTGCAGAGGTTACTGCTGTCTTTTTATTTGTCTGTGCCCTGCCCCCAGAGGTGGAGCCTACAGAGGCAGGCAGGCCTCCTTGAGCTGTGGTGGGCTCCACCCAGTTTGAGCTTCCTGGCTGCTTTGTTTACCTAAGCAAGCCTGGGCAATGGCGGGTGCCCCTCCCCAAGCCTCGCTGCCACCTTGCAGTTTGATCTCAGACTGCTGTGCTAGCAATCAGTGAGACTCCGTGGGCCTAGGACCTTCCGAGCCAGGTGCAGGATATAATCTCCTGGTGCGCCGTTTTTTAAGCCCTTCGGAAAAGCGCAGTATTCGGTTGGGAGTGACCCGATTTTCCAGGTGCCATCTGTCACCCCTTTCTTTGACTCGGAAAGGGAACTCCCTGACCCCTTGCGCTTCCCGAGTGAGGCAATGCCTCGCCCTGCTTCAGCTTGTGCACGGTGCGCGCACCCACTGACCTGCGCTCACTGTCTGGCACTCCCTAGTGAGATGAACCCGGTACCTCAGATGGAAATGCAGAAATCACCCGTCTTCTGCGTTGCTCACGCTGGGAGCTGTAGACCAGAGCTGTTCCTATTTGGCCATCTTGGCTCCTCCCCTCCTGCTCTTTTATTTATATCATAGAAAGTAGTTTCATAACAAGGAAAGTGATCAAGACAGAATGTAGCATTTCATAATAATAAATATAAACTGCCAATACATCAAAAACTCATCCTAAATGTGTATGTACCTAACTACAAAGCTAAAACATACCTTAGGCAAAACTGAGAAAATTGCAAGTAGAAATATACAAATCTACAATTTTACTTCGAGATTTTAACAATTTTACCTATTGGTATAACAAGGAGACATTAAATCAACAAGTATATGAAGATTGGAAGAAAACTATTAACCAAGTTCATAAAGCTGACATTTATACAACACTGAACCCAAGAAGAGAATACACATTATTCTCAAGTGTACATGGAACACTCACCAAGATAGATCACATTTTCAGCAAATATAAAACATTCAGAATTATAATTGAAATAATGCAAGAATATTCTCTAATTTTAGCAGTTAAATTAGGGATGAATACTATTTTAAAACCTAGAAAATTCCCAAATATTTGGAAATACTGAAAAAGTTCAGGTAAATCATTTGTCAAAGAGGAAGTCTTAAGAAATATTAGGAACATTTTTAATTGAATGAAAATGAAAATACAACATATTTTGGGGATACAGCTAAAAGTCATTGATCTAAATTTTGTTACAGCAAATGCCAGGATTATAAAATAATAAAGGTCTGAAATAAAAAGCCTAAGCTTCAAAAGCAAGAAACTAGAAAAAATGAGTACACCCAAAATAAGCAGAATAAAAAGAAATAACAATAATAAAAGCAAAATTTATTATTGAAATTAAAAACTAACAAAGAATAGAGAATAACCAAACAAATCAAAATCTAATTGCTTACAAATATTAATAACATTGTTAAAAATTACATGTTTCAATAATAATACAAGAACATAAAAATTACCAGTATCAAGAATAAAATATGGGATATCACCAAAGATTTGCATATATTAAATTAATACTAAAGAAATATGATGACCAAAACATATGCCCATAATTTCAATGACTTAATGAAATGAGCCAATTCCTAAAATGATGCAAAGTAACAAAACTCACTCAAAGATATAAATAACCTAAATATTTCTATTTCTATAAAATAATTTGAATTCACTTATAACACTACTGGATAAAGAAAACTCCCAACCAAGATGATTTCAGTGTCAAATTCTACCAAATATTTAAGATAAAATAATAGACTTTAAGCATAATTTTCTCCAGAAAATAAAAAAGGACATCACAGTTTCAACTTATTTTACAAGGCAAGAATTATTCTCATACTAAAACCAATCTAATACTTTGCCAGAAGACAAAACTGCAGGCCAATATCTCTCATGAACATATACGCAAAAACCATCAATAAAATATTATTAATAAAATCTACCAATATGTAAAAATAAGAATAAATTGTAACCAAGTGTTTATTCCAGCAATGCAAGACTCAGTTATCAGGGAAATCTAAGTTATCCAGGTTATTAAGAGAAATTCCTTAATCTGATAAAATTCGCTTATAAAAATCTTAACACTTTCATCCTTCTTAGTCAAAGACTAAATTATTTTCCCCTAAAATTTGGAACAAGGCATGGATATACTCTCACTGCTCTTATGCAACGCCATATGGGAATTGCCAGTGTGTAAAATAATGCAGAAAAAAGTCATACAGATTTGAAAGGAAGACATGAAACTATCTTTATTCATATATGACATGATTGACTGTCTAGAAATTGTGATGGATTTCACAATTGTGATATTAACAGAAGTAATAAGTAAGTTTAGGAAGGCTAGAGAATACAAAGTTAATACCAACAAAAAATATTCAACTATATTGCAATATGCTAGCAAGGTACAACTAGAAATCAAAGTTATGCAGTTTTTATATATGATTTGATAGCATTCCCACATAAAAATACACTTACATGTTCATCTAACAAAATATGTGATGGGTCTGTATTATGGAACCTCAAAACACTAATGAAAAAGATCAAAGAAGGCGTAAATAAATGGAGAGATATATACCATGTTCATTGTTTAGAAAATGATATTCTTAAAATATCAGTCCTCCTCAAATCAATCTATAGATGTAATGTTATTCCAAACAAAATCCCAAAAGCATTTTGTGTAGTTATTGACAAGCTGATTCTAACACTTAAAAGTAAAGAGGAAAAAAACTAAAATTAACCCAAAAAATTAGAAAAAGAGCGATTTTAGAAGTGCTAACCCACTAGATTTAAATAGTTAATATAAAGTACTCAAGACAGTGTAGTGTTGGTGAAAGTATAGACAGATTGATGAATGGTAAACAATAGGTAGCCCAGGCTGGACGCGGTGGCTCGCGCCTGTAATCCCAGCACTTTGGGAGGCCGAGGCAGGCGGATCACGAGGTCAGGAGATCGAGACCATCCAGGCTAACACGGTGAAACCCTGTCTCTACTAAAAATACCAAAAAAATTAGCCGGGCGTGTTGGCAGGCGCCTGTAGTCCCAGCCACTTGGGAGGCTGAAGCAGGAGAATGGCGTGAACCCGGGAGGTGAAGTTTGCAGTGAGCCGAGATTGCGCCACTGCACTCCAGCCTGGGCGACAGAGTGAGACTCCGTTTCAAAAAAAAAAAGAATAGGTAGCCCAGAAACAAACCTTCTAAAATATTCAAAAATATGTTTCTTGACAAACATACAAAAGCAATTAAATGGAAAAATAATATACTTTTGAAAACATACTCCTGGGAAAATTGGTTGATTATATGCACACACACAAAAAAACCTACCCCTTACTGGTTAAAAAAAATTAAAACGGATCATATATATAAATTTAAATGTAAAATAATTTGTATTTAAAAAAACAAAACAAATCTATGACTGGGTTAGGCTGAATATTTTTATATATGACAATAAAAACATGACATATAAAAAATTGGACCTCATCAAAATTAAAATCTTTTGCTCTGTGAAAAGCATGATGTAAAGAATTAAAAACCATAAACTGGAGGAAAATACCCAAACACACTTACTGGTATTGACAAAATTAAAACCTGATAATACCAAATGCTAATTAGAATGTTGAACAGCTGGAACTCGCATGCTTTGCAAGTGGGAATGCAAAATGGCACAGCCTCTTAGGAAAACAGTTTCGCAGTTAGTAATACATTTACCATATGAACAGCCATAGATATTTACCAAAATAAAATTCTATATTTATACAAAAACCTGTACACAAATACTCAAAGTGGCTTAATTTATAAACATAAGGAAACTCAACTGTCCCTCAACTGGAGAATGAATAAACAAACTGTGATACACCAAAACCCTGAAATACTATTAAAAATAAAAAAGAACATAACATTGATACAAGGAACAAACAATGTGGATGGATCCTAAATGCATTAACATAAGCAAAAGAAGGTGGATTCAAAGGCTGTATATTTTGGAATTCTATTCAAAAGAGAAAGCTATGGGAATTGGGAAAAGATAGGTGTTTTGTAGGTGTTTAGCTTATGGGGAGAGTATTATCATAAGGGGATATTATGATGAAAAATTTTTGGAAGGGATGGAACTGCTCTACATTTTGATGGTAGTAGTAGTCACCAACCATATACATTTTTCAAAACTCAAAAAAAGTATTTAAACTAAATTTAAAAGTTGGACAAAATAATGTTATAAAATATTGATGTAAAATGAAAACAGCTATGCTTTTAAAAATAAATAAATGTATTAAAATGATGCAGTAGCAATCAAATCAAAGGGATGAGGGAAGAGGTTTTTCAAATGCAATGAAATAACAACAATGAAATAACAACAGATTCTCCTTTGTCCTTCCAACCCCCACTAAAGTATACATAGCAATAAAGAACATGTAAGGTGAACAATGTCATTAATGATTCTGAATTGAAAAGGCATCAAGAAAGAACCTATAAAATCTGCTCACTGGAAAAGACTGAGCAAAATTGGGGATCACATGAATGAAAAAGTAAGGCTTAGTTAAAAGAAGCATAAGTCAGCATCCTGACTCTTCATCAGACCCTAGTCAAAAGCATTGTAAAGTTTTCATGTGATTGTATGTATAAAATTGTATATTACATAATTATTTTTTAAATGTTGCTTTTTTTCTTTCACTCACTTTCATAGTCTTGCTTTACTTTTTAGAGCAGCTCTGGCAGCACATAAAAACTGAATGTAAAATACAGAGTTTCTACATACTACACACACCTGCACAACCTCCACCACTATCAACATTCCATAGCAGTCATATATTTTTTTACAATGGATAAACCTACATTGACACATCATCATCACCCAAGTCCATAATTTACATGAAGTTTGACTGTTGTTGTTGTACATTGTATGGGCATTGACAAATGTATAATGGCATGTATCCACTCTTACAGTATCACACGGAATAGTTTCACAGCCATACAAATCCTCTCCACTCCACCTATTCACCGTTCCCAGACCCCACAGTGCCTGACAACCACTGATCTTTTCACTAACTCCACACCCTTTTCAAGATTGTCAAATAGTTAGAATCATACAGAATGTGGCCCTTTCTGATTACCTTCTTTCACTTAGTAATATACATTTCAGTTTCCCCCATGTATTTACATGGCTTGATAGCTCTTTAGTTTTTAGCACTGAATACTATTCCAATGTCTGGATGTATCACAGTTTATTTATTAGTTTATATACTGAAGGACATCTTGGTTGGTAACAAGTTTTGGTAATTATAAATAAAGATACTTGATTACAGTATCTTTATTATAAATAAAGATACTTTATTATAAATAAAGATAACAGTAACGATTTATTATAAAGATAACAGTATCTTTATTTATAATAAAGATCTTTATAATATCTTTATAATATTTTATTTATATCTTTATTATATATAATATATCTAATATATATTAGATATTATATAATATCTATTAGATATCTAATAGATATTAGATATCTAATATATATTATTAATATATTATATATCTAATATATATTATTAATATATTATATTATATCTTATATATTATTAATATATTATATTATATCTTATATATTATTAATATATTATATTATATCTTATATATTATTAATATATTATATTATATCTAATATATTATTAATATATTATATTATATCTAATATATATTATTAATATATTATATTACATCTAATATATATTAATATATTATATTACATCTAATATATATTATTAATATATTATATTACATCTAATATATATTATTAATATATTATATTACATCTAATATATATTATTAATATATTATATTACATCTAATATATATTATTAATATATTATATTACATCTAATATATATTATTAATATATTATATTACATCTAATATATATTATTAATATATTATATTACATCTAATATATATTATTAATATATTATATTATATCTAATATATATTATTAATATATTATATTATATCTAATATATATTATTAATATATTATATTATATCTAATATATATTATTAATATATTATATTATATCTTATATATTATTAATATATTATATTATATCTAATATATATTATTAATATATAATATATAATATATAATATATAATATATAATATATAATATATAATATATAATCAATATTATTAAATTGATAATATTAATATAATCAATATTATATAATTATTAATAATTAATTAATAATAATTAATATATTATTAATATAAATATATATTATTAATATAATATTAGTATATTATATATTCTTAATATATTAGTATATTATATATTCTTAATATATTAGTATATTATATATTATTAATATAATATTAGTATATTATATATTATTAATATAATATTAGTATATTATATATTATTAATATAATATTAGTATATTATATATTATTAATATAATATTAGTATATTATATATTATTAATATAATATTAGTATATTATATATTATTAATATAATATTAATATGTTATTTATTATTAATATAATATTTATATGTTATTAATATATAATATACTAGATATTATATATGATATATTATTCATAATAATTATATATAATATATATTATTAATTATATATTATATATTACCAATAATATATATTATATATTATTATATTATATATTATATCTAATATATTATATTAATAATATATTATATATTATATCTAATATCTATTAGATATAATATATAATATATTACATATTATATCTATAATAGATTAGATATAATATGTAATATATTAGATATAATATATTATATATAATATATTATATATTATATAATATATAATATATTGTATATAATATATAATATATAATATATTATATATAATATATTATATATTAGATATAATATACAATAGATTAGATATAATATGTATTAGATATAATATATAATAGATTAGATATAATATGTATTAGATATAATATGTAATAGATTAGATATAATATATATTAGATATAATTATATCTAATCTATTACATATTATATCTAATCTATTATATCTACAATATATTATATAATATCTATAATATATTATAATATAATATAATATTAAAATATATTATAATATAATATATAATATTTATAATATATGTAATTTATAATATCTTTATTTATAATATCTTTATTTATAATAAAGATACTGTAATCAAGTATCTTTAGCTAATCAAGCATTTTGTGGGAAGATGTTTTCAATTCAGTTGGGTAAATATCAAGGAGAACAATTGCTAGATGTTATGGTAAGACTGCTTACTTTTGTAAGAAACTGTCAATCTGTTTTCCAAAATGAATGTGCTATTTTGCATTCCCCCAAGTAATGAATGCGAATTTCTGTTGGTCTGCATCGTTGCCAAAGTTTGGAATAGTCAGTGGTTTGGATTTTGGCCATTCTAATAAGTCTGTAATGGTGTCTCACTGCTGTTTTGATTTGCAATTCTTTAATGACATACGGTGTTAAGCATCTTTTCATTTGCTTACTTGCCATCCATATCTCCTCATTGGCAAGATGTTTCTTCAGATCTTTTGCACATTTTTAATTGGGTTGTTTGTTTCCTTAGTGTTGAGTTTTAAGAGGTTATTTTTGTATATTTTGGATAACAATCAATCCTGTATCACATATGTTTTGCAAATATTCTCTCCTAGTCCGTGAATTGCCCTCTCATTCTCTGGACATATCTTTCATTAGAGCAAACATTTTTAATTTTTGTGAGGTCTACCTTATTACTTCCTTTATGAATCATGCTTTCTATGTTGTACCTAAAAAGTCATCACTGGCTGGGTGCGGTGGCTCATGCATGTAATCCCAGCTCTTTGGGAGGCCAAGGTGGGTCAATCACCTGAGGTCAAGAGTTCAAGACCGGCCTGGCCAACATGGTCTCTACAAAAATACAAAAATTAGCCAGCCATGATGGCAGGTGCCTGCAATCCCAGCTACATGGGAGGCTGAGGTGGGAGAATCACTTGAACCTGGGAGGTGAAGGTTGCAGTGAGCCAAGACCGCACCATTGCACTCCAGCCTGGGCGACAGAGCAAAACTCCATCTCAAAAATAAATAAGTCATCGCCAACCCAAATTATAATATACACATAATAATTGTACATATTTATTGGTAACATTTCAAGTCCTCTCTTCCAGCTACTTTGAAATATACAATACATTATTGCTAACTATAGTCACTCTATTCTGTTATTAAGCAAAAAAATAATGCACGTGTTTTTACATATGGGAGTAAATGTGATGTCTCAATGCATGTACACATAGTATAATCAAATCAGGGTAATTACCATATTCATCACTTTAAATATCATTTCTTTGTAGTGACAAAATTCAAAATCTTCTAGCTATGTTGAAATATATATTATATTATTATTTGCTATAGTCACTCTACTGTGTAATAGAAAGCCAAAACCTATTTTTCTTGTCTAACTGTAACTTTGTACCCATTGATCATGCTTTCCCGGTTCCCTACTTCCTTTTATCCTTCTCACTCTCTGGTAACTATTATTCTATTTTATATTTCTATGCTTTTATGAAATCAACTGTTTTATATTCCAAATATGAGTGAGATCATGAAGTATTTTCCTTTCCGTGCCTGATTTATTTCACTTAACAGAATATCCTCCAGGTTCGTCCATGTTACTACAAAGGTCAGGATTTCATTTCGTTTTTTTGTCTGAATATTATTGAATATTATTCCACTAAAAATATACATATTGAGTGGAGTGATATAATGTCCTATATGTATATTATATTTAGTGGAATAAGAGGTTGACTGTTTTATAGTCAGCCCCTTATATACATGTCATATATGTTATATATATGTGTATATATACATATATACACACACATACACACGCATACACACACACACAGACACACATATATATATAACATTTTCTTCATTCATCTGTAGATGGGCATTAAGATTAATTCTATATCTTGTCTATTGTGAATAATGCTACAATAAACATGTGAGTACAGATGTCTCTTAGATGTATTGATTTCCTTCATTTCTTTTAGATATATATCTGGTAATAGAATTGCTGGATCATATGGTACGTATTTTTAATTTTTTAAACATTCTCCATACTATTTTCTATAAAGGCTGCACTGATTTACATTCCCACCAGTGCTGGATAAGAGTTTTTCTCTGCATCCTTACCAGCAGTTGTTTATTATTATTATTATTATTTTGTTTATAGCTATTCTAACTTGGATGAGGTGATATCTTATTGTGGTTTTGATTGGCATTTTTCTTATGATTATTGATATTGAACATTTTTCGTGTATCTGTTGGATATTTGCATGTCCTCTTTTAAGAAATGTCTATGTAGGCCTTTTGCCCGTTTTTAAATTACATTATTTGGTTTTCTTTTTGCTATTGAGTGGTTTGAGTCCCTTTTATATTTTAGAATTTAACCCCTTATCTGATTCATAGATTTTAAATACTTTCTCCCATTCTGTAGGTGTTCTCTTCACTTTATTGATTATTTTGCTGTTCAGAAACTTTTTAGTTTAATGTAACCCCATTTGTCTGTTTTTGCTTTTGTTTCCTATGCTTTTGAAGTCCATCTCAAGATCTTTTTGCCGAGTCCAATTTCAGAAAGCATTTCCTCTATGTTTATTTCTATTAGTTTTATAGAAAACACTGTCTTTTCTCCATGGCATTGCTTTGTTTCCTTGCTGAAGATCAGTTGACTATATTTGTGTGAGTCTATTGCCTGGCTTTTTATTCTGTTTCGTTGACATACTTTTCTATGCGTCAAAACCACTCCATCTTGATTACTGCGTTTTACAGTAAGTCTTGAAGTCGAGTACTGTCAGTTCTCCAATTTTGTTCTTCTCTTTCAAAATTGTGTTGGCTATTCTTGGCCTTTTATCTCTCTTTATACATTTTAGAATTGTTTGTAAATATTCACAAAATAACTTGCAGAACTTTGTTTGGGATTGCATTGAGTCTCTAGATAAAGTTGAGAAAAACTGAAATCTTGACATTATCATGTCTTCTTATCAGTGAACATAGAATATCTCTTGATATAGTTATTTTTTGACTTACTTTCATCAGAATTTGGTAGTTGTCCTCATATATATCTTGTACTTACTTTGTTATATTTATATCTAAGTATTTCATTTTGGGGTGCTTATATAAATAGTATTGTTTTTAATTTTCATTTAATTTCAAATTCCAATTATTAATTATTGGTAATAATTTTAAATGAAAATAACAATAGGTAATATTTATTGAGAATTTTACTGGATGTTAGACACTGTTTTGAACTCTTTATATTGGTTATCTCAATTTTTACTCCCCCAAGCTGAAGGAGCTATGCACCATTGCTTTCCTATTTTACAGATGAGAAAACAGTAAAATGGAAATGGAAAAGCTAAAATAACATGCCCTAATTCCTTCTACTAGTAAGTGACAGAGACAGGATTGGAACCTAAGAGCCCTGGCTCCGAAACTTTATCGTCTACCATGTCTACAGGCCACTCTAGGCCTGTAAGAGAAGTTCTAAGATGATTAAGCTACACAGCATGCTAGGATTACACTACTATTGAGGAAAGAATATGAAAGTGGAAACAAGAAAGCCAACAAACCTAAAACCAAGCATGATAAGAGTATTCCTCTAAATGTTATCTGTGAAGTTCTGGATTTTAATAAACTTGACAGTTTGACTTAAATGTCTAATCTGCATGTCAGACAGGTCCAGAGGTTAGATTTTTTTTCTGTGGTACATAAATTAAAGCAAGGGCAGAAAAACTCATTAAATTTTGCTATGTTATCAGAATTTAGGTCACTGTAATATTTAATTTGACTGCCAGTTGTATATGTAAAAATGCATCTTTCTGGATAAATGTATTATTTTATGTGTTTATTTTAAAATATGATGGCAAAGGAAAAATATTTTGTATCTTATATAAAACTGCAACTTTGATATTACTACTTCCTTGGAAGCTAGAAATAGTAAATTGGCATTGGAGTTACAAGATCTATGTGTAATTTACAATGTCAATTGCATTGCTAAAAATATATTTTAACCTGAATAGTCTCTACCTTGCAGACTGTGCACTTCCAGTTCACTCAGTAAATCTTCTTTGTGCTTTTCTGGCTTCAGTAAGCTTTAAAAACATTAGATTAGTTAGGAGGCTTAATTATCTGATAACTGTGATTTTGCTATATATAGTTGTTCATAGTTTTCACTCCTTAGTGAAATCACAGAATAAAAAGCATCGCTTTTACACAAGTAGAAAAAATCCTGTATTTCATAGTCAAAGGGAATTAAATGAATGGAATAGTGTTGTGCCAGGAAGTCAACTGATGATAATTTGTTACATACATACAACACATACACTAGCACAATATAGATATAAAATATAGATATAAAATTAAACATTGTAAGTGAAATGTAGGCTTCACATTTAAAGGGAAAATAAGTCCACAAAATAGGTTCAACATAACTATTAGGAAAATACAAATTAGGATCACAATGAGATATAATTTACACACCTATCAAATAAACTAAAATAAAAGCAATGACAGAACGAAATGCTGGCAAGTATGAAGATAAATTAGATCTATGCAGGTGGGAGTGTCAAACAATATAGCCACTAAGGAAAGTAATTTAGCAATTTTTAAAAATAACTAAATGTATGCTTAACATATGACCCAGCAATTACACACCTGAATGATTATACAGAGAAATAAGAAGTTATGTCCCATAAAACCTATGCAAGAATGCTCATAGCAGCTTTATTCATAGTAGCCAAAAAATGGAAACAACTAAAATGTCCCTCAGTAGACTAATAGTTAAACAAACTAAATCACATTCTCTGCAATGAAATAGAACAGACTATTGATATATGCAACTACTTAGATGAACATCAGAGACATTATACTGAATGAAGGAATTAAATCTCAAAAGATCATATACTGTACAATTCCATATATATAGCATTATTTAAGTGACAAAATTATAGAGGTGAAGAATATGTTTGTGGTTGCCAGAGATTAGGGATGGTGGAGGGGAGAAGGTAGGTACAACCGTAAAGCAATAGTTTGAGAGAAATCTTTGTGGTGATGAAATAGTTCTGTATGTTCATTAAAGTAGTGCTTACACATATTTGTGCATGTGATGACACAGAACTTCACATATGTATCAATGTAATATTCTGGTTTTGATATTGTACTATATTATGTGAGAGGTAAACCTTGGGAAAACCCAAGTAAAAGCTGTTTGAATCTTCTTTTATCTTTGACACTTCCTGTCAATCTATAATTATTTCAAAATAAAAAATACTAAATATCTTAGCTCAAATTAGGATATACTTGAAATAATTAGTAGAAGGTAAAATAAAATAATAATGACCAAATAAGTAAATATTTTATTTTTGAGTAATGGTAGAAGAAACGAAGGATAGAAGGATAAAGCTTCACAGCAGTCTTAAAAATGTTGTGAGGATTAGCTATGAAGTTGTTGCAAAAGTAACTGCAGTTCTGGCCATTACTTTGAATGGCAAATGCCGCAATTACTTTTGCACCAACCTAACACTAATTTTGGCCTTCAAACAATGTGGATAGGATAAATTATAAAAAATAACCTGAGACAGAATTCCATTTTACATAAATTGACTAGAATTCCTTGAAATCACAGTTAACTATGAGAGTAAATTTTATGTTGCTAAGTTTCCCACATGGGTGGAAATTATGACTGAATGACTCAGAACCATTCAAATATGGCCAAGCATTTAGTTCCAGAAGCAGGTACAAGCTCAGAGATGGACTCTTCTGTCTAATGACAAAGAAGAGAGACAATGAAACAAAAGAAACATTTGAAACTGTAGTAACCAACAACTTTCAAAAATCAATGACAGTCATTAAACCACAGATTTGGGAATCTCAGAAAACGGAAGGCCAAACAAAACCACAGCTATGCACATTATATTCAAACTGGAGATAAATGAGAATAAATTTTGAAAGAAGCCAGGAGAAAAACCCCAGCTTACTTATCAAGGAAAAAGTATAAGAATCACAGCCCTTGGAAAACCCATACACATTCTCAAGTTCACATGAACAGTCACCAAGAAAGACCGCATTCTAAGCCATAAAACACAAATTTTAAAGTTGTATCACTAAATACATATATAGAAAACAGAAAAGCTCTAATTAAAAACCTGAGCTTCTACCTCAGAATTTTAGAGAAAGAACAAACTAAGCCTTAAACAGGCAAAAGAAAAGAAATTGTGGACTAATCTATGCCCACAACTTTAGATAAAATGGAAATTGAAAAACACAAAATACCAAAATTTACACATGGAAAAATATGTAACTTAAATAAGCTTATGTCTGTTAAATAAATGAAATAAATAATGAATAACTTCTCCAAAAATCACCAGGCCCAGATAGTTTCACATGTGGATTTCACAAAACATTTAAAAAAAAAAATACCAATTCTCTACATTGTTTTCCAAAATTAGAAGGATCAATTCTTCATTCATGCTATTCAGCCAACATTACCCTAAAACCAAAACCAGATAGAGATAAGAAGGAAAATTATAGAATAATATCTCTCATGAGATGAAACACCACCAAATAAAAATAATTCTGAGATTCTTTTTATCTGGTGTTGTTTCATCTCATGAGAGATATTATTATTGCTATAGCTGGTTCTCAGTTTCCTAATCTATAAATGAATGGGTTATGCCGTTTTGTCTTTGCTCATAATCATGTATATAAGCAAATAATACACACATATGTGCCTTATATATGAAAAAATACAGTGTTTGAGTTATTTCCATTATAAATAAATACTCAGCCTTCAAGGTTACCAGCTAACATCTACCTCAATAATTAGCAAAAAAACTAGAATCATCATATTCATAATTAATGCTTGTCTCTGAAATAGCATATAGCAATTGGAATTAAAGGGGTCCTTTTACAACATGACCTGGTTGTAGAAACGTGACTGAGCTACTTATGAGCTATGTGAACTCAGGCAAATTAATTTGTCTTCTTTAGCCTGGTTTTCTCTTTGGATACAATCCTACTACTGTATTCATTTGTATTAATTTGGATACAATGGATCCAAGTAATGGATCAATACTACTACTCAAATTATAGAGTTTATATGATGATAATTAAGAACATCCTCCAAAAACCCTGATTACAATGTTTAGCTCAAAAAATAACTAAATAAAATTATCTGATATGATTACTATTATTGTCATCATTATGAAATGTTGAATGGAAGAAATATGGTAAACTTGCTGGTACTCAATTCTATATTGGGGATCTGGCCTACTAGGGAAAGAAAACAGTCCAAAGTCCAAAATCATTACAATTATCTGATCAGAGATAAACAGATTAATAGCATCATATGGTCCCAGGCCAAAAGTAGCTATCACATAGACACTTTTTGTAAAGTAAAAACAATTTACTCATTATTTATTCAGAAAAGTTCATTGAGCACCCACTGTGAGGAATAGACTAAAACCTTGAGAGGCTTGTAACTGCTATACAGACACATTTTTAGCACATTCCTAAGTGTCCAAGTAGATTTGTGTACAAAATTTTCTAGGTCTTAGGAGAGAATGTTATTATTCATTCCTGGAGAGTAAAAGGCAATTATTCAAAGAAAATGCCAAATTGAAGGTAGAAAATATGAGGAAAATTTTGACAGGGATAAATGGATCAGTGAAAGTACATTTCAGGTAGATAAAGGAATTTGCAATGGCATGAGTAATAATGTAACTTATATTTGTTTAGCACTTATTATTTACTAGGTGCCATTCTAAACTTTTTGCTTCAATGTGTTAGGTATGCTGAGATTTTTATTATAACTGCACTGGAATGTATAAGCTGGACTTATCCTTAATGGAGAAGAAAAAACATCTTCAACAGCAGAACCCTCACCTCTCCCACAAAAAAAAAAAAAGTAAAAAGAAAAGAAAAGAAAAAGTCAGCATTAGTGAAAACACATATCCAGGGAAATAACTCTTATTTTATTGAATCTAAACTCTACCTCCAATACTTTGCATTGTTTGCTTCTTTTTAAATGTTTTAATTAAGAGCTAACTCATAAATTGTATCTTAACACCTCTTAGATTTTGAATAAATTAAAGAAGATTCAATGTTACTAATGACATAATTAGAAATTTCCACAGTGACCACTCCAGTGAATAAAAGAGTAATTTTTTCTTATGTTTATTTAATGAATTTATAATTAACTCTCTTAAGGGAAGACATAGGATGCCTAATCTAGTCATTCTATGACTTATTTGGTATCTTTCCAGAACTACACTATATTCATTTCCAGGTCCTCCCTTCTATCTTCTTCTACCAAAAGTGGCATCTTTGTGTAAGAGAAATCAAACAACTTCATGAAGACAGAGAGAGCAAAATGTATGACCCCTGGTTACTTCTCTGTACTTACCACAATTGATGAACTTGGCAGTTCTTTTGGTTTTTGCTTTGAACTGTGATTGCTTTGGAGAGATTGGGCCCCTCGTGACTAGGCTTCCCTTGCTAATCCAGCCCCCTACATAAATGTCCTGCCATTGGCCATACTATGAGGCTTCAACTTTTTCCTCTATGTCCCTGGTTGGAGGCTCACTCTAGATTTGCTTTCATCTAGAAAATGGGAAATGTGCACTGTAAAATTTGTTGTGTCTGGTAGCATTTTGGTGGCCATGTTGCTGTCACTCCTAGTTCCTATTATTTACAAGGAATTAGGCTCTCCAACAAATCTCTTCAAAGCCATGAAAAAATTTCGGGGGTGGTCCCTAGTCAATGTTGCATCCAGATCTACCTTGCCATCATTTTCTTTGACAGCACCATTTCTGTTGAGTTGGGGGGCACAGCAGGACTACTAAAAATAAAAGTATCAGGGGATGGGCATGGTGGCTCACACCTGCAACCGCAGCACTTTTGAAAACGAAAGCGAGTAGATTGCTTGAGCTCAAAAGTTTGTGACTGGCCTGGGCACCATGATGAAACCCTGTCTCTACAAAAATACCAAAATTAGCCAGATGTGTTGGCATGCTTATGTTCCCATCTACTAGGGAGGCTGAGACAAGAACTTGAGCCTGGGAGGTGGAAGCTGTAGTAAGCCAAGATTGCACCACTGTTCTCCAGCCTGGTCAACAGTGAGAACTTGTCTCAAAAAATATATGTATATAATACACACACGCACACACACACACACACACACACACATCAGGGAGGAAATAGCCTCTCAATTGTCTTGCCTTCTTGTCAAAATATTAATGGGCTTGGGGAAAGTATAGAAATGTACCCACATACCTCATGACAAAATATTTAGAAGATATATTTTTTTTTCTTTTTTCTTTTTAAGTCCATAGTCTTCTTCCTACCCCAGGTCTGAAGAGATTAATGTTTATGAGAGCCTTCATATAACCAAGGCAGAAGGAGTCTTGATCTCTGGAAACCTAGCCCTGAACAATAGTTTTGATCCCTTGGGACAGAGCAGAACAAAAGCTGGGTTGAGCTGAGGATTCCAGATAGTGACTGGGTGTGCTACAGCCAGGATAGGGACTGATATGGTTTGGATTTGTGTCCCTGCCCAAATCTCAGGTCAAATTGTAATCTCTAGTGTTGGAGGAGGGACCTGGTGGGAGGTGATTGGCTCATGGGGGCGGACTTCCCCCTTGCTGTTCTCCTGATATTGAGTAAGTTCTCATGAGATCTGGTTGTTTAAAAGTGTGTAGCACCTCCTTCTTCACAGGTGCTTCATCTCCTGCTCCAGCCATGTAAGAGGCTCTGGCTTCCCCTTCATCATCTACCATGACTGTAAGTTTCCTGAGGCCTCCCCAACCATGCTTTCTGTACAGCCTGCAGAATCGTGAGCTAATTAAACCTCTTTTCTTTATAAACTACCTACTCTCAGATAGCTCTTTATAGCAATCTGAGAATGGACTAATACCTGAATTAGGTTTTTGGGTAGCTGAATCAAGCAGATGTTTTCCTGCTCTTTACCTAAATGTTCTGACCCAGTATTTCCAAGTGGTCCTAAGTGCCTCCCAAATCTAACAGAGAGGAAGGAAGACGCACCACGTTCTGTTGTCTGATGAACTCAGTCTACCTAGACAATGGCTCTGGTGATTGTAGACAGCTAATATTAAGCCAAAGCAAGATCTTTTTCTCTGCCTTGTCAGGGCAGAAGCTGTGGATTTCTCCATACTCCTGGCCTGATGTATGGAGCTCACACTCCTGGGGTCTGAGCTCTGTATACTCTAGGGTAAAGATAAGTCCTAAATTCACCTTGCTTTCCTGTAGTACTCATTTGGTCACCAAATTTTCTAAAATCTTTTTCACATAACCAAAAACAGAAAATGGTATCTATGTTTCAGGTGTGTGTGTGTGTGTGTGTGTGTGTGTGTGTGTGTGCGCGTGCATGTGTGAGAGACAGAGACATGTAGGGCCCTCTATAGCAACTGTTCTTGAAGAATGGTCTAGAGAATGCTGAGGTTTCCTGAGACCCTTTCAGGGGTCTGTGAGGTCAGAATCCTTCTTATAATAATACTAAGGTGTTATATGCCGATTTTACTGGAATTTTGCAGAGACTACACGCCATGTAATCGCATTATCACTTTTGTGACTAATGAAATGAGTATTTACATATTCTTGTGTTTTAAACAATTTCTTAGTTTTAATTTCACACAAACACACACACACACCATGTAATAAAACTCTTTCAGATCTATAATAATAATAATTTTCAAAGAAGAAAATGGCTCCTGAGATCAAAAAGATTGAGAATCAATCGTGCAAATTATGTGCTCAGCACAGGCATTCTTGCCTGGACTGAGGTAGGACTAGTTATTTTCCCTTAAATTTCCCCAGGTATCTTGTCCCTTCTCCCACCGGGTTGTAGTCCAGAGGTGTGAGTTGGAGGGCAGATGGTCCATTGCATCCTCTTCTCTGCCCAATTATTCCTTCTCCTCTTTACCAAATTCCAAGGTTATTCTAGGTTGGGACAACAGATAATGGTGATAGAAGGGAAAAAAAGGCTATCATCTAAATTGCTTATATTTTAAAAGTCTTCCCCAACTTACATCTGAAGGCTTGGTGCATTTCTTTAAAGGCCAATAATAAGAAGTCTTGATTTTCCAATCTCCTACTTCCCAACATTGGTTAATGAAAATTTCATTATTTTAGTGTCCAAAGGGAAAGTGTTTGGTGCTCAAAGCAATAAAGATTAATAATTTTAAGGTAACAATATGAGAGATTCACCAGATCAAACTCTAATAGCATCTTCCTGATTCACATTCTGATAGACTTTCTTGAAGGGGAGAGATGGAGGTACTGCTAACAGGCAGATGATTACAGAGGATTATTCTGTGAACATCACCTGTTGTATCATCTCCAAAGTCATTCAAAAATCTTCCTCTGGCCAGCAAGGTTTCCAGCAGAGTTGTCAGACAAAGATGATTCCAATGGAAAGCACAGATGCCTGGGAGTCAGGTCAAGGGGCAAGCCCTACCTCTTGTACACAGTAGCTCTCTGGCCATCAACTATGTAATGTAAACTGTAAATAACACCAACTCTACCTGCTGCAAGGGGATATTTTCTAAGAAGAAATGTGGTAAGCCAAGTAAAATTTCTTTGAACAGTAAAAATTGATCTTCAAACTGTACTCTATATATCACTAGCATTTTTAGGATTTTTTAAAAATTTAGGACATAAAATCATAATTACAGTCTGTTAGTTGGCTTTGTAGAGATTATAAATAAATCTCAAATTTCAGTGTCCCTTAAGCACTTAGAGAATCTGTTCTATAAGTTTATATGTGTTATTCTATACAAACCTGTATTTGTAAAATTATTTGCATAAATGATTTTATTAACACTACTGACACCACAAATGAATAGAAAACAACACTCTTTATACTATAACCAGGGATATCAAAAGCTACTTACATGTTTTACCTGTCATTACTGACTCTTATGAAGCATAAATATCTGAACAAGTTGCACATTGTAGGATTATTGTGTTTCCTAGTATTAATATTCACATGGTTCAATATTTCAGTGTGTAATTGTAAGCATGTTTTATAAAGAGCCCTTTTGGAAAATCATGATTTTATTTATTTAAGGAATTAGTTCTCATTAGTCCAGATTATTCACATTTTAGCACAGTTTTTACAGGTATTGTAAAAGGGGAATTGCTCGTGTAAACCATGTCATTGCTAGAGCCATTGTACTTAAAATTTAGTGGTATCATAAAGAATGTTCTGCCACTGGACAAGTTTAAATCTACAGTGCAGAAAGTCTTTAGGTTCTATCCACCAGGGTGAAAACATCTTGACACTCTTTGCAGTGTTGTTAATTTGGAGCAGATACCTCTTCATCTATACTGAAGTAGGTTGAAAACTTAGCCCTTTCAACTTGCAATTGTGTTTTGAAAATAACAGAGACTTGGCCTGAGAAGCTCTATAATCATTGCTGGATTAAACACGACAAACACACACACACACACACACACACACACCCCACACCACATCTATTTAATCTGGCATCAGATAATAATGATGAAACACTGGAGGTTCTATAGTCATTTAGACTCCACAGCCCTATCCTGAGAATATAGGAAAACACTCGTCTATTGCCTTCAGATTTCTTTCATCCAGGGATGGAGAGAGCTAATCCAGAAACGACCTTATTTTCTGAAAGTTTCTGTACCATATTTTGATAGTGCTATTGAGTGTAAGGGATAATGGGGTACCCCAAAGCTAAGAATCCCAACCAGTCCTCCTATTAGCCTTCTGATTAATGCATCTTGAGATCAGGTTTTTCCTGAGAACAGTTCCGCGTTAGGGTAGATAATGCACATCTTGGAGTTCTGAGATTCAAGCCCTGTTTCAGTGGCAGCAACTGCCAAAATGCCAAAAACTTGCTCCTGTTTCCGTGTGCATTCATTCCAAAAGTACTCACTAATATAAAGACATACGATCATCAAAAACAATACAATGTGTGAACACATGAGAAGCTGGTAAATAATTTCTAAATTTCCCAAAATCAAACAGATAGTAGTTAATGATAGGGTTGTGATTTGAATTCTTGACACTCAAACAAAAACACTCATAGAAATTTGAGTTACATAAAATCAATTATCTTTTCTGTTTTTTCAGCCTATGAAAATATGTCATATATTTCATGAGAAACACTAGCTAGTGTAATCATAACTATACTCCAGAGAAATAACCATTATGAAGATTAGAAGTTGATAGATTAGGCAGGGAAAACTTCGAATTGCCCAAAGGTAAGAAATAATCAACATAAAAAAGGTCAATAAGCCAAAATAACTTCCATAAGAAAAATAAATTTAAGAATTATGCAAAAGCAATTACAGCCTAAATAAGAAAGCCAGAAGAAGGCTATGGGATTTGGGTGGGAAGTAGAATAATAGGTAAAAAGAAAAGAAAAATAACTTTGTTATTTAATTTTGTTGGGTTTGAGGATATAGCCATTGCTAGGAATTATCACTTTTGCAATGCCTCTAATTTTCTCTTCTCAATATCTGGGAATGTACACTAACATAGACCACTCTGAGCAAGCAAGATATTTGAGTTGTAAGATACAATCTCATGGCATGAGTTAAGGGCATGGGGGTTTGGGGGAAAAGGTTGCCATGGAGATACATCTAATATATATTTCTGTAATTTTAGCAGGTCAGCATTTATTTTTCTACTTTCCTTTCAATTACCTTATTAGTTTGGGTAATCATAAACCAAATGCTTTCTAGAAATAGTAGAAACCACAGATTAAAGAGCTTTAGTGGTATGCATATACAGTCAAATTATTACCATGCCTCATCTGCTCTAACTCCATACTTACATATAACTAAATCAGTAGTTAGTTTCAACATTACTGTTAGGATATCTAGCAATTCTGATTTTTTCAATAATAATTACTTCATGTATCTTAACATCAAAATCTTCATCATTTATTTGTTCCAATTTTTGGTGTCTCTGCTCTGCCGGTGGCTACAACATGTGCTTTGAGTGCAAATGGGCACCATGACCCTGAAATTATTTTAATAAAATTGAATTATTTACAAACGAAAGTGGTCATATTGTTGAGGTTGCTACTCTCCTTATCATAGGGTTTTTGTGTATTTCATGAAATTTATGATGCTACCAAGTATAATCATGTTTCAAATTTTCTGAGTCACTAAGAAATAATAAGGCTTCAGGTTAAACCATAACTCAACGTTGTTTAAAAATCTCTTAGCATTTCTATTTTGTATTCATTGAATGAACTTGTTTACAGTTATTTAAACAAAAGTGTAATCATACACAAAATAAATTCTTAGCAAAATAATTTACTAAGGTATAACTAAAGCCTCTTCACATTCAAAACCCAAATCTTGTGGCAGGGAATCTCCGTCATACTTATCTTGCTTATGAGATCATCCTCTGTTCCATCAATACCATTAGTGATGCAGCCTTGGTCAACGCTCCACTATTTTCTCTAAGTTATTATTTTCTATAAAATTGGTTAATTTGCAGTCAGCTAAGACTCTGAGAAATTTTCACTATCACATATAAGGTCAGAAGAAAAAGGCTTCCATGGGAAATTTGCAAGCAAAAGACTCCTAAAGATGAGAAGAATCAGGCTTCCTAATCTTCCTCTTGTCCCACTGAGAGAAGTACCAGGGACATTTTGCTCTGCTATACATGCAGAGTGGGTCTGTGATCTAGTGGAGGGAACCTTCTTCATCCTGTTATTCCCACTTCTCAAAGGGCAATAGTGACAAATGGCATTCTTAGTGGGAGCACAAATAGATGGCTTTAGGACTAGGTAGTCTAGATTTGAGTGTCAGCTCAAATTTTGTCTGGAAATGCCAGTTGCCTAACACCTGGAGGTTTTAGTACCCTTGGGATGTTACCCTGATGGGAAGAAGCCACCAAATCCATGGAAAGCTTACCACAGATGGAGTTCATCCTGCTGGGATAAGAAGGAGGTTCAGGTCTCAGTTTACTAATTTTCCAAATCACCAGAGTGAGTTGATTTTCCAGATGAATTTTAGAAAAACTTGCTCTTTGCATCATGTCTTCCAAGATGTGTTAACATCTTACTCTGTGAGTTTTGATGTTGTCAGCAGAGGTTACAGATGAAAATTAGCACTGATATTTCATTCTCAAGTAGACCCTAAATGGTTTGTTGACTGAAGCATGGATGGGTTACACTCTTGACACTAAGAATATCAACCAATCTAGACTGCCTCCTATCTGTCAGCAATTGCAAGAAACCATAAATTGTAAAGCACAATTCATTTTCAATCATGTCAAAATGTGAATAATATAAGTATTTTTGGATCAATAAAATAGTCGCTCTTCACACACTCCCCCTTTTTTCTCTCAGTCCCAAACAAAAAAAGAAAAAATATACTATAGTCTCTTGCACACTAATATACTAGGAACTTAATGTATTATAAAACCAGAGGCCTATTAAAGATAAAGGGAGAAACTAATATTTTTCCCAAATAATTACTTAGTAGTTGTACTATACTAAGGCAGTAGAGAATAGTATTTTGAGTGTCTTTCAGATTTTGAGGATTTCAGTGGGAAGATCTCACCAGCTGAGAATCCTACGTAGGCACCGTTAATTTCCATTTACACAATTCCGTATTCTCAAGCAGAATGATAGTCAACTATCCAACATTCTGACAAATAACTACCATGTATTTTGCATATAAGCTAAATTCTCCTCAAGTCTCACTGTATAGATAAATATCTCCATTTCAGGTGAAGACATTGAGAATTAAAGACAATTTTCTAATGACTTTGAATTAATAAGAGGTCAAGTGGTTTACTGCCCACGAATGTCTCCCTGGCTCATATTATATCATGATATCTAACTCATATCATATTATCACTGGCATCATATATTATATCATATATTCGTACTATCATGAATGTCTCCCTGATATCATATTATATCACGATATCTGACTATATCATGTTATCACTGGTATGTGGTCTTCCGACTCTCAATTAGATTTACTCAGAAGGATCAAGGAATCCGATTGGTGTAAATCTGATTTAGGTTCTCTCAGTCCAAAGTTTAAGTTTATTTTGTGTTTTTCCTTATTTTACACCAACCTCTATCCTATGCCTAGTTCTATTCAGTCACTATCCTTATGAAGGGGCTTTCCAGTCTTGTGATTTTTTTTTTTAATAGAGATGGGGTCTCTTTATGTTGACCAGGGTTGTCTCAAACTCCTGGCCTCAAGCAATGCTCCACCTCATCTCCCAAGGTGCTGGGATTACACGTGTTAGCCCCCATGCCCAACCCAGTCTTATAATTCTTGAGCAAAAATCATAAATAAGCTTAGTAGTTCTATCATTTCCTTAAAACTGGTATTTGTCCTCTCTTTGTGCCCTTCTTGGAGAATACAATATATAAAAGCTTAAGGCATAATTAGATATTCAAAAATATATTTTTAATCTCACTAAGTAGTTTAATTATGGACAGAATGACTATATACACTGTTATATATGATCTTTCTGGATATGAAAATAGGATGACATCTCTATTGCATATTTTTATTATTATATTGATTACTTTAAATTTTTTCTCTCCATTGTTTCTTTATAGCTCACACACTATCATTATTTATTCTCTTAACATTTTATTCCCAACCAAACTGCAAAATCATCTTGAAAGTGACAAGGTGACAACCGAAAATGACAATCCCTTAAAAAGCATTTGTACCCTAATATAAAGAAGTGCACTAGTTCACCAGTTCCATTCCCTAAACAAGTTTGAGACTGAGAACTGATGAGACCCAAAAGGACAAAGAATGCTTTATCAGTGAGTGTAGGACCCTCACAAATCACATGCCTGCTGGACTCTGAACAGGCTCTGTGTGTAAGCACCAATTTTACAGTTGAGGAAACTGTAATGTTTACAGTCATGCATATTATCAAGCCCCATGAAGTGTACAAATTATCTCATAGTCTATGACCCCTTTTACCTATACTGCCCACTCAGGTGTTTCATCAATATTCAGGAGTGCTGGCCAAATTTTAATATACCACTTTTTTTTTTTTTTAGTTTAGACCCTCTTGACTGAATTTTCCGGTTAAGTCCAAGCAAATTATTGAATCCAGTAAAATACTGAGTTGAATACTAATTTAACTGAAGGGAGTTGATGTGCAATGGGAGGATTCCAGGGGAAGCAGCAGGACTTGCTACATGGTTTTCACTCTTGAACTAAGTGGCTGTGAGAGCTCAGACTTCTCATTTATAAATGAGGCTAACCAATTATTACAATTAGATTATCACATTTACATTTTCAATAGCTGGCTCTAGTAATTTTATGATTCTTTGATTTTATCTGTTTTCAGCAAAACTATTTGCTGTGCTCTGGTTTAAAATAGGAAAAATATAGGCTATAGTGGTTATACTATCTCATCTTGCTTTTGTATGCATAATAATTTGTATTATTATATAAAAGCCTCGGAAGTGAGCACATAGTCAAATTTTCAGTGAAGAGAAAAAAAGGGGCATTTCTGTATTTGAAAACAAAAGCTTAAAAAGAACAGCTAAACTCTGCCTTTATTTATGGTATTTATTATGTCTGCAAAATTAGTTTAAATAATTCCTATGGAGGCACATCACAGAAATAGGCACTCCAGAACCCAGGAGATTAGCTAGTATAAGTAAGTCTTTAAGATCATCAGACATGTCAGTGTTTGAAAGTGATCTCAAGAGAGCTAGAATGGGAGGCAGGGAGAGCACGTGAGAGATTATGTGTCTTCATTTCAGAAAATGATTTATGCTAAGCAGAGTTATTTTCTGCTTGTACTAAGCAATCACATACCCAGCATCCTACCTCCCTGAATTCAACCATTCAGAATTATGCTTAAAAAATACAAGAATATAATAATAAAAGTAATAATAGGTTTTGAGGAAATGTTCACTATAATGGCTATCTCAAACTATACTTCTCCTAGTAGCATATAAAATTTCATGTTGTGCTGTACCCTCACCAATAATTGTTATTGTCAGATTTCAATTTTTTCTCAATATGTTGGTTTTTAAAAAGATATGTCTCATCGTTATTTTGTGTTGTTTAAATTGCTAAAAATAATAGAGAAAAACTTTTATATGTGATTGGTCATTCTGCCATCCTTGTTTCTTATAAGGTTAAATACTTGATGTATATTTGCTGATTTTCTAATACGTTGTTTGCCTTTTTCCTATTATCAGGAAAAATGTAGGAGAAAATATATTAATAGATAATTCTGGTAATTATTCTTCACTATTTAAATGTGTCCTAAATATAGTCCCTCAAATTGAGGCTATTCTTCTTTTTTTTCTTTTTTCTTTTCTTTATTTCTTTTTTTTTTTTTTTAATATTCAGGGTCTTGCTCTGTTGTCCAGGCTGGAGTGAAGTGATGCAATCATAGTTCATGGCAGTCTCAAACTCCTGGGCTCAAGTGATCCTATTGCCTCAGCCTCCTGAGTAGCTGGGACTACAAGTGTACACTCCCACACCTGGCTAATTAAAAAAAAAAATGTAGAGTCGAAGAATGCTTGTTTTGCCCAGGCTGGTCTTGAACTCCTGGGCTAAAGTAATCCTCCTGACTCAGCCTCCCAAAGTGCTGGGATTATAAGCGTGAGCCCCCATGCCCAGAATTTTTTGTGCTTATTGTTTTTTTTCTGCTGACTAGGTGACAGTTATTTTGCTTTTTAAAGTTTTTAATTGACATGTAATAATTTTACATATTTATTAGGTACAGAGTAATATTTTGATACATGTATACAATGTATACTGATCAATCAGGACATTAAGCATAACAGCACATCAAACATTTATCATCTTTGTATTGGGAACATTCAAAATTTTCTCTTCTAGCTGTTTGAAAAAATAATACGAGTTAATGCTAACTAATGTCACCATACAATGCTATAGAATGATGGAACTTGCTGGGTTTGGCAGGAATTGATCCTTTCTTATGGCTGATTAATATTCCATTATGTATGCATATTACATTTTCTTTATCCATTCATCTGTTGATGGATACAGGTTGATTCCATATTTAGCTACTGTGGATAGTGCTGCAATAAACGTGGGGGTGCAAATATCTTTTCAACATACTAATTTCCTTTTCTTTAAATAGATATCTAGTGGCACTGCTCAATCATAGAGTAGTTCTAATTTTAGATTTTGAGGAATCTTTGTAAGTTTTCCATAATGGCTGTACTAGTTTACATTTCCACCAACAGTGTATAAAAGTTCCCTTTTCTCTGCATTCTAGGCAGCATTTGTTACTTTTATCTTTTTCATGTTAGCCATTCTAACTGATATGAGATATGTCAATGCATTTTTCATTTGCATTTATCGGATGATTAGTGATTTTGAGCAGCTTTTCATGTACCTGTTCATGAGTTTTCATGTACCTGTTGGCCATTTGTGTGTCTTCTTTTGAGAAATGTCTGTTCTGATTATTTGCCCATTTAAAACAACAACAACAACAACACTAATCAGAAACTTTATTCCTAAAGCAACAACAAACATCTGAATGGGATAGAAAAGATAGTCCATTAGAGTGTGAAAGAAGAGAAAGAAAACAACTGATTGGCTATTTTTGTTATTATCCTCTGCCACATTGGTAAGCCTTTCATAGACTTAGGGTTTAAAATCATTCTTTGAGTTCCCAGGTGGATTCCTAACTTCTGGACACAGTGGTATGTTGTTGCTACTACCGAAGTCCAGTTACCAGGGAAAGAAATGAACCAAGTAGCCCTCTAAATTCAGATGAATATAATGCTTGATCCTTTGCCCGTTTTTAATTGGATTATTTGTTTGTGTGTTTGTTTTTACTGTTGAGTTATTGTGTTACTTGTATATCCTGGGTATTAATCCCTTGTTAGATGAATAGTTTGCAAACATTTTCTCTAAATTTACAGGTTCTCTTCACTCTTCAGGTTGATTGTTTCCTTTGCTGTGCAAAAGCCTTTTAGCTTGATATAATCCCATTATCTATGTTTGCATTTGTTGCCTATGCTTTTGAAGTCTCATCCAAAAAAATCTTTGCCAAAGCCAATGTCATGAAGCATTTATCCTGTTTTCTTCTAATAGTTTCATAGTCTTGGGTCTTACTTTTAAGTTTTTGTCCATTTTGAGTTGATTTTTGTGTATGGTAAGAGATAGGGGTCTATTTTAATTCTTCTGCATATGAATATCAAATTTTTCCAGAACTATTTATTGAAGAGGGTGTGCTTTTCCAATGCATGTTTGATGTCTTTGTCAAAAATAAATTGACTATAAATTGATGTATTTATTTCTGGATTCTCTCTTCTCTGTTCTGTTGGTTTATAGGTGTTTGATTGTTTACCTTTTTCTATGTTTTGAAGTATGAGGTAAAGTCAAAGATATTGATATTCATTTTATGGTTTGGCTGTTTTTTCCCTAATTAAAGCATTTCCCCTATTTTCCTGTTATAAAGATAAATGCTTATATTATTTTATTTTTTACAAAAGGTGGCTTTTGAATATAGTGGTTTAATCCAAACCAGTTGATTTTCCCAAGTGGTTTAAGCTTCAGAAACAACTGTACCACAACCATTTTCTTAAATCTCATCCTTTGCTTCAGTGTTGAACTACACAAAGGGCATGTACCAATACTCATATATGCATGGGCTCTGTGTGTCTGTAATCCACTCAAATTATTTGTTTATCATTGCACCAATACCTCACTTTATTGATTTTTCTAGCTCATATCAGGTAAGATGAGTTCATCAGCCCTGTTTGTTTTCAAATTATTTTTGTCCTTCTTGGACTTTGTGTTGCTCTGTGTAATATTTAGGATAAGCTTATTAGGTTCTCAAACTTATAATACTTTCTTTAATATTTTAAACTATGGATTAATGTGAGAAATGTACATCATTTCCATCCTGTCTTCTCATATATATAATTATAATGTATTGCACCATTTATTTTGGTTTTATTTATTGTTTCAGTAACTTCATTTTTTTCCCCGTAAAAGCTATGAACATCTTTTGTAAGATTTATTCCTAGGTATCTTTTTTGTCTGACTATTTAATTGGTATCATTTTAAAAACAATATTTTAAACTGAACTGTAGATGCATAAGATTCCCTATTTTATCTCTTTACTTACTCATTTTATCATACACTTAATCCTAAGATACGTTTATCTTTATACTAAATACTGTGGCTATTATTACTTATTACTTCTAATGATTTGTATTTAGATTACCTTTTTTTTTCTTTTGCAGGCAAATTAAATATCCATGGGGATAAATAAATAAAACATGTATTTTTTTCTGCTGCTTAAAACCACCACTACCATAAATAGAATCAGTAATAGAAGACATATCTGTATTGTATTTTTTTTTTTTTTTTTTTGAGACGGAGTCTCGCTCTGTCGCCCAGGCTGGAGTGCAGTGGCGGGATCTCGGCTCACTGCAAGCTCCGCCTCCCGGGTTCACGCCATTCTCCTGCCTCAGCCTCCCAAGTAGCTGGGACTACAGGCGCCCGCCACTACGCCCGGCTAATTTTTTGTATTTTTAGTAGAGACGGGGTTTCACCGTTTTAGCCGGGATGGTCTCGATCTCCTGACCTCGTGATCCGCCCGCCTCGGCCTCCCAAAGTGCTGGGATTACAGGCGTGAGCCACCGTGCCCGGCCTATTGTGTTTTAAAGGGAATAGTTCTACTCTCTTACTCCTCTGGATAATGTTTATTATATTTTTTCTTTTTAAATATACATAATTGGATTAAGAACATCTTCTAAACCCAATTTACTATCATATATTTGGTTTAAAACCTGTCAACTTATTTTGTTGATTTGCATTTTGAATACCTTATCTATTCTTTTTTATTATATGCTTTTTTTGGTATAGTTTTACCTTTTTACTTATTTTTGTCCCTCATCTGTATTAACTATTATTTGCCTGTTTTACTTTATCGTTTTATTTTTACCTTTAAATTTTAAGATACCACTTAAAAATCTAAATTTATCCATTGTTCTTATCCAACTTTAAGACAATTTAAGGACTTTAGGATGCTTAGTATTTCAGTATTCCACTGATGGATTCTATGCTACTATTGGCATCTACTTACACTTAGTCTTTTTTGTTTTGTTTAATGTGTTTTGTTCATCCATAGATAAACACTTGCTGGTGTTAAACTTTTACACTTTTCTGTGTAGACTCTTCCTTCTTGTATTTCACAGTTTTCTTTTGGGATTATTTATTTTCTTCCTGGAAAAAATTATAGAATTTTTTAAATCGAAAGTCTGCTGGTAGTAAGTTCTCAATTCCTGTTGTTAAATTATAGAACATATCACTAATAGTACATGGTAATTTTATCTTATAACTTTGAAGTTATTTTCCCACTGTGTTCAGACAAATATTTTTGCTGTTAATATATCATCTTAATGCAAATCTGCCAGTCATCTGCTT
The DNA here is from genome assembly GCF_000001405.40 of Homo sapiens. NCBI lineage: Eukaryota > Metazoa > Chordata > Mammalia > Primates > Hominidae > Homo > Homo sapiens. Next base: position 83,318,524 of record NC_000002.12, on the reverse strand, counting down.
TTCTTCTCCCTTTCTAGATTTTCCTAAGACTTTCGGGGCTGATATGCCTAGACAGGAATTTCTGTTTATTTTTATTTGTGGAGATTCACTAGACTTCTTGAATCTGAAGTTTGGTGCCTTATATTGTTTCCAGTACACCCACAGTCATTACCATTATCTCTTAAATTTTTCACTTTTTTTGTGTATTTTGCTTGTATTTTGTGTTATTTATTGTCTTTTTTTAAACTTGTTATTAATTCGCTTCTATTTTGTTCATTGAGGTGTTTTGTTTATTTTATTATTATTATACTTTAAGTTTTAGGGTACATGTGCACAATGTGCAGGTTAGTTACATAAGTATACATGTGCCACGGTGGTGTGTTGCACCCATTAACTCGTCATTTAGCATTAGGTATATCTCCTAAAGCTATCCCTCCCCCCTTCCCCCACCCCACAACAGTCCCCAGAGTGTGATGTTCCCCTTCCTGTGTCCATGTGTTCTCATTGTTCAATTCCCACCTATGAGTGAGAATATGCGGTGTTTGGTTTTTTGTTCTTGCGATAGTTTACTGAGAATGTTGATTTCCAATTTCATCCATGTCCCTACAAAGACATGAACTCATCATTTTTTATGGCTGCATAGTATTCCATGGTGTATATGTGCCACATTTTCTTAATCCAGTCTATCATTGTTGGACATTTGGGTTGGTTCCAAGTCTTTGCTATTGTGAATAGTGCCGCAATAAACATACGTGTGCATGTGTCTTTATAGCAGCATGATTTATAGAGGTGTTTTTAATTCACTGATTTCATTTTTCCTTTCTAGAAAAACTATTACAATTTTCTTTTTAATATGTTTGGTCATTTTTAATGGTTTCTTGTTTATTAGACATATAATCTTGTTTCTCAGACATATAATCTTGTTTCTTAGACATATAATAAATGTATTTTTCTTCAAATATATTAACCATAATTATTTACTATTTCAATATATGTAGATTCTGAGAAGATAAGTCTAAAGATCATTTATTTATTCCAAGTCAAAATTATGGGGACAAGTTTCTATATGTATACACGTACCTACATACACACACACACACATATATTTGTGCTTGAACTTAGAATTTTAGGCAGTTAATTGGGCATCTCAAGGGATTTGTTTTATGGTTACTTTCTCCATATCAGATTTACATCATCCTCTGCAGATTACCAAGTTCAACAGATTTTAAATTAATGCATGCACTTGGGATTTTCTTCTTTATGCAAGTGTTATACATTGAAATGCTAAATGCAGATGAGAGCAGAGCTGCATTTTGAATTCCAGGGGCTGGTTTTCAATATGGTTTTTCACTTAAATTTAAGACAAGGAGAAAAAATGTTGGCTTTTTTACTTTGCTGATAGAATTATTATTTTTTTCTATCATATTGTTTTATAGAAAGAAAAATATTCTGAGATCTGTGTTCAGGTGGAATTTTCAGTTCCAGCTTTCTATTTTTGAAGAGCTCAAAGAATTATTAACATTCCAGGAGTAGTAGTTAAACACCAGTTTTCTATTCCTGATATTACAAATACCTTCAGGCATATCCCTCAGTTTTGTGTTTTCCTCTTCATATTTATTCTTCCTCCCGCCAACCCGGCCTGGAAAGTTATCTTACTTTGTCATTTCACTCACTATCCATTTATTATAACCATTTCTTAAAAATATATTATCTAGCATTTCTATTTATTTGGCAGCAGGGATTTGCTCCCAGAATACTCAGTTTGCCATTTGCTGACAATTGAAATCTTCCGATTTGGTTTCTATTTGCTTTTTCTTCACTTTCCATCTCTAGTTCAGAGACCATCTCTCTCCCTATCCGTGCAATGCTCTACATTTAGAACTCGGTTCAAATAAGGTTCTTGTCTTTGCCCTCTTTTTGAAATTCAAAATTATTTTGTACTTAAGACCCTGAATTTGAGGTCTTCAAACCTCACTCTAATAGAGATGATTCTAGGTTCCATCTCCCCTAGGGTAATTGATTCAAACACTTCAAACCTCACTCTAATACAGATGATTCTAGGTTCCATCTCCCCAAGGGTAATTGATTCAAACAGTCTATTCTTAATACTTAACATCCTTTCTCACCTCTATGGCTCCTATCAATCATATGGGCTACTACATGTATGTGACAAATACATTTTTATAGGATGTATAAAATACCAATTATAATGCTGCACAGAAAGTAAAGGTGCAGACAATACTGTTCATAGCTAGGCATTTTTCAGGGGAAGGGATGGGCAACAATAATTAATTTGTGTTTAAAACAATGTGAGTTATGTAAATGAAAATATTTCAGTGGGATGTATTGAGAAAATATAGAGCAGATGTAATAGAGCAGATGTATAATAATAATAGTTCACAATTATATAAGCTTTTTACACATATTAGTAATGTACTTCTCACTACAACCGCATGAGATAGGCATTGCCAATTATATATTTAGATCCTTTTTACAGATAGTAAACTGAATCAGGCTAGAGACATGACTTGCCCCCATTCATACAAGCTATAACCTTTGATCCTGGATATAAAATCAGGCCATCTGGCTTTGGGATATGAACCTTTATGCCTATGCTACTCTGCCATGATGGGACAAATATAGAAACAACATTATGTAAAAGAGAAATGAATAAAGCAAAGTGTTGAGATAAATGTTATTTTGGCTGTATCTATCACAATAATTAACAAACCTGAATACATCATCTGTGAACCCAAATCTTTCTTCTCCTTATTTTTCTGAGTTGTTTAAATGCTAGCAATGGTTGCACCATTCATTTTGTCTTCTTATATGAAAAATTTTGGAACGTCATGTATTTCTCTCCTCAGCCACTTCTTACATTCAGTCAATAGACAGTCACTGATTTCTACAGACTTGTATTTGAATTATCTTTTTCACTACCTCAAACTTGACTCAGGTCTTCATCTTCTCTTCTCTGGATTTTCATAATAAGTTCCGAAATAATAATAATATTCTCTGGATTTTCATAATAAGTTCCGAAAGACAAAATTATAAGAATTTTAGTTTAAGTATTTTAATTGTTTTTTATTTGCAATTCTATAATGGGAATAACTTTACTATATACAATAGAATGAGTGTTCCAATGAACTGAGCAGAGGAACTTGGCTTTATAAGCAGAAGAGGGCTGAAGAAAGAAGAATGAAAGAACATAAAGCAGATTGGCTGTTTCAAAGTTTAAAGAGAGGGAATTTTCTTATTATTCTGACTCGCGTTGACTGGAATCTGTTTTTTTTTTTTTGGAAAATTGGCCCATTTTAAAGTTCAGTAGGATTATGTATCACTTAGCACAAATAACTCCATTCTGGTTTGTTTGTCAAAAGATCACTATAATCAAGTGCAAAACATGAGCTTCTGAGCTACTCCTGACATCAAATGGACAGCAAACCATCAGGAAACCTGGGCTCCCTGAAATGGGTCCTAGTTCCCCTCCACTGTGAATGAGAGGGTGCTAGTATATCTAACAGGATTTTTTTAAACAAATTCTGGAGTGGAGAATTACCTTATACAACAATAAAACCGAAGAAATAAATTGGGTCAATATTAAGTGACCTTATATACAACAATATAACTGGAGAAATAAATAGGCTCAATACTAAGTAGGAAGATAAAGCTCAATAGACAAATGAAGAGATACAAGAGGTTGAGAAACAAAAAGAATCTAGGGCATATAAAACTATTTGCTTATAAAGCTAGAGATCTAAAATAAAGAAGGAAAATAACAAGAATAACTAAGTGGACCAAAAATTTAGAGAGGTAAAACACTGTTGCACAGGAAAGATAATGTGCTGCTTTATGTTTTAAGATCAAAGCACAGATTAAATGAGCCAAATTGATCAAATGACCAAGATAGAGCAGAGAGGAGAGAAAGAGAGATGGGAGGATGCCCATCAGTAGTCGTGTTGCCGTAGGGGGGTAGCAAGGGTGAAAGTCAGAACGTGTATGTAGTAAATGGTGGCACAATCTGGGCTCATATTAATATCCAGAGTTTAATGTGATATGTGGTGAAGGTAGAAGAACTTTTTAGACAGTGACCATTCATGTATTCAGTAGGTAGAAAAATAATGGTGCTAAGAGCTAGAAGTGCCCATCTGGTCTGAAGCAGTAACTAGCCTTGGATGAACGAGGAGAGACACTGAACTCAGATAACTAAGTTACATTATAGAATAGACTCTGGCACTAGTGAAAAGCTGATATCCATAGAGGATGTGACAGAATCCCAGTGATGAAATTTGTGTAATCTCTAATATTGATGCCCAAAGGGATTATAGGAATTCCTGGGAATACAGAGATCACAGTGTTTAATTACCTAGAGCACAGTTCTGGTGTAGTCTCTATATACTCGTGTCAACATTTAAATATCTAGAAGGAAACTAGTTCAAGTGCAAGGGCTGAGAGTCATAGATTATTGTATTTTTGTATTTCTGGTTTAAATACAGTCTGGATGTACACAAATTTTGTTATAGGTCCAACTGGCACTGGAGAAAAGAGTTGTATCATGGAGACAAATGGAATTATTCAGACATAAATTATATTTCATGTGTATATAAAGCAATATTCTCTCATCATTTAAGTTAATTTGAGGGACAATAGCAGTGATAAAAATGATATCCACCTCACTAGGTTTTATGGGGATTATAATGCATGTAAAAGCATATAATAAATTATAACACAAGTTGTTTTTGTTGTCCAAAATCATTTTATCCCTCTTTAATAACTATCGGGTCATTTGATAAAGGACATTTGCTTTTCTATCTTTCTGTTTGGTGAAGATTAATGTTAAAATTGTTTTACAATCCCAGAACTCACAAAACATACAGTTGATGAAGGCAGTCTCAACTTTAGATTATAAATTTACTGGCAGGTCTTCACTAAGTATATAATTTTGTGAATAATTCTCAACACGACCCCTACATTTTTTTTTTCATTTTCATTTCTTTTTTTTTTTCTCTTTTTTTTTTTTTTTCCTTGAGATGGAGTTTTGCTCTTTTCTCCAGGCTGGAGTGAAGTGGTATGATCTTGGCTCACTGCAAACTCCGCCCCCCAGGTTCAAGCGATTCTCCCGTCTCAGCCTCCCAAGTACCTGGGATTACAGGTGCCCACCACCACGCCCTGATAATTTTTGTATTTTTAGTAGAGATGGGGTTTCACCATGTTGGCCAGGCTGGTCTCGAACTCCTTACCTCGGGTGATCCACCCACTCGGCCTCCCAAAGTTCTAGGATTACAGTGTGAGCCACCGTGCATGTCCTTCATTTTCATTTTATCGTACACAGATGGGAGTACATTTTCCTAAATTTGAAACGTAACAGAAACGAAAGATGAACTGATAAAAGCACAACAGTATTGTTCATTTCAAAACTTACTGCACTGGCTATTAAAATAAGGGCTGATGATTTTACCAGGTTTTTAAAAAATTTTTTATAGAGAAGATCAATTTTCTGCCTTGTGCAGTAGTCTGTATCTAGTCCAATTTTAAATAAAAATTGAAAACCAACAACTCTGTGTATTGTTCAGCTTCATATCTTACATGCGAACACAGTTTATCTTGTAAATTGTAGTAGGAAAATAATGGACAAAGTTGGTTGTAGCTGGTTTGTGTCTTTGATTTCCCGCCAATGGCTAAGAAATTTCCTTGACTTTCCTTTGGTCTCAAAGACATTATATTACTGCACAAGTGTAGAAGTAATTAAGGACCTATAAGGAAAAAATTTGGCTTTCACAAAATCCCATATATTAGTAAAAATCAGGAATGTGGGGTGATTTTTTTTGGCTTTTAATTTTTAATAGTAGACCAGGCACTGTGAATAAACGGTTCCACCTCAGTATTTTCCTCACATCTGCGTTGTATGTACCAGGCCTACCAGAATACTTTCAGAACTAATTAATCTTTACAAAAAAACATAAGCTTACTTGGATGAAAGTCTCCATGAGAACTACAAGGTGGATAGTAGCCAGCTACATGCAGGAGGTACAGTAAGTACCACTTTTCTTTTTTCAGGGAACTTTAAATGAATGGCTTTGAGATGAAGAGTAAAATTAGAAGCATTTGTGAAACAGCTGCTCCTGAATGTTCTTTTTAGTCTTCCATTGTGTCATAGTTACATAAGAGTTAAGCTGTCTGATCAATTCCATGTATGTTTACCATAAGATTTAGTAAGCAATTTATTTCGAGAAAGTCAGTGAAACATGTGACATCATCCTGCTCTGAAGATCCTTATCTTTTGAGTGTAAGGTCGTGACAAAGCATAGTTCTATATGGAAACATTTATTTTTCCAACTACCTTCTCTTTCCTACAACAAAATTATCCAGAAAAAGTCAGATTTGCTTGACCTTTAGGGCCATGTGGTATTAAAGAAACAAAGGTGAATGATATGAGGAAGAAATCGTACAATGTTTTACTTCAGTAATGACAGCAAGGTATTGTAGGCTGATCATATGAAAAATATCACCGAGTCATATAATTGAATTAATTATCTAACCAACACTGAAAACTTTTTTCTTCATACACCACAGGGATAATCATACAGGTATAGTTGAAATATACAATGTATGAAAGAGTTCCTTAAACCATTGAGCAGTTAATTTTAATAAAATACAGGCTTAATTATCTGAAAAAATATTTCAAATTTGTCAATATTCACTTTCTTAAGAACTGTTTGAAATATTTACTTCAAGCAGACAGTCTAGCATAGACAGACTAAAAAATAATAATAATGTGACAATGAAATTCTTTGGATCCAAAAATGTGATTATGGGGTTAGGTTTCACCACAGAATGAAAATATCAAAGAAATGAGTACTTTTAAAAAGCATATGTAGGCCAGGCAAGGTGGCTCACGCCTGTAATCTTAGCACTCTGGGAGGCCGAGGCGTGCGGATCATGAGGTCAGAACATCGAGGCCATCCTCGCCAACATGGTGAAACCCCATCTCTACTAAAAATACAAAAATTAGCTGGGCATGCTGGCATACGCCTGTAGTCCCAGCTACTCAGGAGGCTGAGGCAGGAGAATCGCTTGAACCCTGGAGGTGGAGGTTACAGTGAGCCAAGATCGTGCCACTGCACTCCAGCCTGGTGACAGGGGGAGACTCCGTCTCAAAACAAACAAACAAAAAAGTATATGTAGAGGAGAAAAAGTGTATAAGAGGTAAATAATCAAACTGACCATCAAACATAGGCAGGAACTTAATTAGAGATTGACTTTTGGTGTAGAGTTAAGCTTTAGGACTGAAGGACACAAAATCTAGTGAAAGCATGCCAGTCCATTTTGGAAGGTATTAGTAAATGGGTTGATATCCTTGTCTATTGCTACAAAGGTCAACTTGACTTTCAAGATCAAGTCAAAGTCAGCTTGCCTTTTAACATTCCATTGAACTCTCCTAAACATGTAGCATATTAATAAAGCAGAGCTAAATTTGTTATAACTCACTACCATAAGGGGGAACACCAGCTTGAAAGAGTTAAGGACACTTAGTAGCATCTAAGAAGTTGGGAGCCAAAGTAGATAGTTATAGACTTTGGAGTCTGGACTTAGTGTTTTATGGTAGATTTTCCCAAGATAGGAACTATTAGAGACTGGACAAGGTCTCTGATGTTAATACTCTAGGATTGGCAGACATGGCAAAGCAAAGGTTTTGTGGTTAGTCTTAAATATTAAACTATTGCTTCTTAAATAGTTTCCTAAGGTCAGGAGACTGTTGTACTAGATAATTGGTCTGCAGGAAATTCCTAATACAAACAGTAAAATTATTTATTGGTTTAGGGTTTTATCTTTCATAAGAAATATTTCCCTGAACCAAAGAACTAAGTCATGGTGACAGAGATCATCTCAATATATAGTCCTAATAGATATGCCATGAAAATCCAGATGGTCACAATTTTCAAGTGTAATAGACCATGGTGATTAAGTAGATTGATCAAATTTTTAAGGTCTGATTTTATTTTATTTATTTTTCTAACATGTATGTGGTTTTTTTTCTTAAATAAGTGTGGTCATACTTTAATTACATTCTATTATAGCTGTTTATTCGAGATTATTATGTTATCATTTTGTTAAAGGTTGTATACTATTCCATTGAGCATGCCAGAGTTCAAATGTCACACTATTTTGGAAACTGTATTGAAATTCTATTCATTTTTTTCTCTATTATTAAAAAACTCTTCAATTGACATGTCAGTAGAACACATTTTAGGCAGTATTGTCTTTTTGTTTCCTAACCATATTATGCTACATCCAATATTTCAATTGTTTATCAGTTTCAATGGAGAGAAAATACCATTTATTTGACAGTATTATTGACATCTAACAAATACACACCAATTTAAATTCCAAATCTTACATGAAACCATCAAAATGTTGTGACAGGACTTGCGTATGTTGATTTTAACTAGACAAGCAATCATATGAGACATAGGATCACAGTCAACAGTGCTCTCGTCCAAATAGCACTGACATCAACAGAGCACAGCAAGACGTGAAGCATGACATGGTCCATTTATCCTCTAGGGTTCCACTGAGAAATTTGTATACAAATTCTCATTTAAAAATGCACAGCTAGGCCAGGTGCAGTGGCTCCTGCCTGTAATCCCAGCACTTTGGGAGGCCGAGGCAAGTGGATCACCTGAGGTCGGGGGTTCAAGATGAGCCTGGCCAACATGGTGAAACCCCACCTCTACTAAAATATCAAAAATTAGCCGGGTGTGGTGTCAGGCTTCTGTAATCCCAGCTACTTGGGAGGCTGAGGCAGGAGAATCGCTTGAACCTGGGAGGCAGAGGTTGCAGTGAGCCAAGACCACACCATCGCACTCTAGCCTGGGCAGTGAAAGCAAGACTCCGTCTCAAAAAAAAAAAAAAAAAAAAAATAGCACAGCTAAGCCTAAATTTATAAACATATTTTCCGGAGTTCTGGAATGACTCTTTAATCAAGGAATGCCTTCTTTAGAGTCTTATAAAAATAAAATTAAACTAAAAAATCCACAGTATAATATTTGCAATGGGCATAGTATTATTTTATATCAAAATCAACATTATTATATATTAACTTTGATATAATATTATTTTAAATACTTTGTAAAGTTGAGTTGATCAAGTGATTCAGAATTTGGAAAATTCCAGAGCCAGTGCATGAGAGAGAGTGGGTTATGGAGGGAAACAATAGTGAGGAGGGTGATGGGCACAGTTATAACCAATGGAAATTGTGCCAAACAGTAAAGTGACACTTAAAGTGCTCCTTAAAAAGTGGAGAGAAAAAAACATTTGGGGAAACTATCCCTATATTACCCAGGAAAGTGGGACCAGTTCTGGCTTTCTTGATGAAGGAGAGTTACTTTAATAGCTGTATTTATCTGAATTACTTATGTTTTAATTCATTGCAGCAACTGTTTTCCATAGGGACAAATAGAGAAGACAAGCTGATAGGATAATTGCCATTATTTAATACATCTGGGGCTTGGGGCTGGGTTAAAAATAAAGACGTAGGAGTAAATGAAGAATAAACCAACATGGTAGTGCCCTCCTTAAAAACACACTTACTTATGTTTAACCTCTGAATAATAACTATATTTGAAAATAATAACTCGTATCGGAAGCATTCCTCCCCTTCACAGGAGATTTCAGTAGTGGAAGCTCATTGATATAACATGTTGCTTGGCAAACTCAAACGAGAGATTTGTACATTAAATCTCCTCTTGTTAGGCCATTTTCTGCACACAGCTAAAATGCAAGGTATTATGCCAAAGTGTTCCTGTTGCTGATTCAAGGGTTTCTTAGGTGAATAATGATCTCAGATACTCTACCTGCACAGGCTTCTCATGTATATTTTGATAACTCTTTCTTTTAGCTCTTTATACAAGTGAAAATAAAAGAGCTGTAAGGTGACAAGTTATAAAAATCAAATATTTGCCCTAGGAGACTATTCCTGAACACAGAAACATAAACAGTAATATATTAATAAATTTATAATACAATGATATTATAACAAAATATTGCTAATTACTTGTTGGCATTACATCTCAGAATAATGAAGTTGGGCATTTAGCATATAAAAGGTCGTTTTCCTTAAATATGCCTTTCTTCTTTTTTTTTCCATTAAAATTTTTATAAAGTACCTTTAAAAAACTATTCAGCTATTGCATGTAATGACAAAGGCAATTCTATGAGATTACCATATTTGAGCAATTAAATAAGTTGCTCCAAATCATACAGAAAGTAAGAAACAGTGCTAAGGTTTCTTCTTTGATAGTTTATCTATAAGACCAAGATATGTCCCAAAAATATTAATGTTCTTTATAAATTCCCTTCCTTCAAAGTATTTTTCTTCTTGATTCTATTAAAACAGAAATATTTGATGTCTCAATACTTTTAAGTATTTTTGGACTATTGTTTAAAACCTCTCCTCCATTTTAATGGAATTTTTCTGCATTCCCTTAAATGAAAATCTGTTAATACCAAGCAGAGAAAAATAGCTTAGGAAACCTAAGTTTACATCATAACAGGATAAGAATAGCCAACCTTGGAAATAAGGTATTTCACAAGAAATACAATATAACATCAAAAAGAAAAGAAAAGAAAGGAAAAGAAAAGAAAAGGACTTCAACTAAATCAGCTGATGAAAATCTACTTTTCCTATGTTGGACCAAATTGTAGAACTATTTAACATGAGCTATCACTTCTGAACTAGTTTAGTTTAACTAAGGCCTTATTTGATGATCATCAGCTAGAGACTAAGATGGATATTGAAAAGATAGTCTTAACCACATAAGAAGATACTTCATATATGAGGAAAGACTAACTACCGGTTTAGAATCTAACTAATCTCAGAACAAAAATAATGAAACCCGAGAAATAAACAAAAATCCAAAGCAGATTTACAATGGAGTCTCTTTGAAGTGCAATAACCAACACTGGGCATATATTCCTGAGTGTCTTAAAAGTGCAGCAGAATGCCTATGTTGCAGAGAATGCTACTCTGAAAGTGCTCCCCTTATCATCACCCTGACAGCAAGGACTTTATTAATCTTATTCACACTTACATACGTCTACTGCATTCTTTATAGAGCCTAACACTTAAAAATGACAATAAATAATCTTTGATGAAATAGTCTTCCTTTTTTCTTTCATCCTTTAAACATTTTCAGCAAAAATCAATATATACTATATTTAAAGGTAAGAAGAACAAGTTTAAATTTATAATTTACAGTTTATTATGTGTTTTCAATTTTTTTTTTTTTTTTTTTTTTTTTTTGCTGTTTTTCTTCAAAGTTTGAGATTACATCTTTCTTGCCCAGCTTTCTGGAATAAGGGTCCTTTTCTTATTCATAGACACCTATATCCACTTTGTCTTTTTAAAGACCATTTTTTGGACATCCTTCCATGTGATTATGTCTTACTTGACCTTTCCTGGCAGTTTCATTGTGTCATTGACAAACTCAACATTGCTACACAGTCAAATCACATACATGGAAGATTATAATTTACCCAGAGAGAATTATTAGATAGTCTTTTGTTGTTGTTGTTTTGTTAGTTTGTTTTACAGTTTTACCACATGAGTCTGGTAAATGAAACTACAGTGGCATAGTGGCATTAAATTGCCCTACTGACCTAGTCACCTGAGATTTGATTGGCTTTTTGTAAGAATGCTTTTTGTAAGGCAGTAAGTTCTTTAAAAAAGTCGATTAGCACTGAACTTTAGAATAAAACATGGATATATTTATTTCTTTTCACAATTTTCATATGTGATATATTTATAATATATTCCTGTATCTTGGATGAATAGTTGACTATAATCCCTCTTGCTAGTTGCTGTGCAAAAATCAATAGTTATTAGTAACCTGGATAGTTTTACATTTCTCTGAAGTGTAGCAATCTTGGAAAATCGTAATCAGTGCCTTAGATCAGAGTAAAGATTGGAAACCTTTACATCCTCTACATCTCTCCTGTACTCATGTCTTGCAGCTAAGTTTCACTGTTTTCTCTGTCACCAATTTGACCAGCTGAGAATCCTGGAAGCAGGGCCTTTTGTGCAGGCCAGTCCTCTTGCCACCTTTCATAGTCCAAACTTTTACCTGGTAGATGCTGGGAGGCTGATCTCTACACCAACTCTCAGCAACTTTGCCTGTGCTCTCTGGCCTGACACACTGCCCTTTTTGCTCATTAATTCAAATACATTCTGTCCTCAAGTTCGATTTCAAGTTTAGTTTTACTTTATTTTATTTTACTTTTTTATTGTCTTGGATGATGACATTATGACTAAGTTAGTTAACAAAGAATCCCAAAGTCTTTGTGACTTAAGAAAACAAAAAGCTGTTTTTTATTTACTCAAAGTCCCCTGCAGACCTGAGGACTCCTTAAAGCCATAGTCCTGCATATGATGACTCATTGATTCAGGCTGTTGGATACTTTGACTTGACATTTTAACAAAGACTTCCTTCACTTTTGTCACAAAAGAAGAGAAGAGGCGACTGGGCGCGGTGGCTCACACCTGTAATCCTAGCACTCTGGGAGGCCGAGGCACGCGGATCACTTGAGGTCAGGAGTTCGAAAGCAGCCTGGCCAACATGGTGAAACCCTGTCTCTACTAAAACTACAAAAAATTAGCCAGGCATGCTGGTTGACACCTGTAATCCCAGCTACTCGGGAGGCTGAGTCAGGAGAATCGCTTGAACCCAGAAGGCAGTGGTTGCAGTGAGCCAAAATCGTGCCATTGCACTGCAGCCTGGGCAACAAGAGCAAAACTCTGCCTCAAAAAATAATAAATAAATAAATAAATAAATAAATAAATAAGAGGCTGCAGTATTTGGGTGACTGTTAAATGCTTAAGTGCGAACGTAACACACATCACCTCTACTTACTTTTTTTTTTCTACTTACTTATTGACCATAACCTGTCATATAAACTGCACTCCTAACTCCAAAGAGGTTAAGAAATTTAACGTCCTCATGTGCCTGAGAGATGATGAGACAGGATACTTGCAACATAAAAATTTCAACAAAAATATATAATAGACAAGATCTAAATAACGTAAAGAAAAAGTTTGCATACACATATACAGTACACTTTTTTTGTAGTCTTAATGAAACTAATGTTTTACAAAATTCTCTATAAGGCCAGATTGAAAATGAAAATCAATAGCAAAAGCAAATAGAATTCATTATCGAAACACAGCAATAAACATAGCTAATATGCATAGAAATTAATAGTAAAATTTAAAAAGCACTAAAGCTAACTTATAGACACTTTAAGAAGATTCTCATAATGTGAAAAAAAACTATGATAATAATGATGACAACACTAAAATGTAATATCTATGTAAACCTTACAGTTTGCCAAGCACAGTTTGCATTTATTACCTCATTTATCCTAATAACTTCTGTATGAGGTACTTATATCCTTATTATCAATTTTTTCTTAGAGAAGAGTTGACTGAGGCAGACTAGGGGTGATGTGCCAAAAGTCACAAAGACAGTGACTGGAAGAGAAGAACCAAGATTTGTAGTGCCACTAAGACAACAATTATATGATTAAATCATATGTGACATGATTTCAGGAATGCCTCAGAGATGATAATTTAACTCTTTAAAGCAAGCTATTAGAAGGTAAACAAAAATGTGCCTAGAGATGGGAACAACTAAAGAATATGTAAATGAATTTTAAAAGAGGGGGAAAAGTATAACTAATAAAACTAATAATTCTGTTAATAGGTAAATTTAAGACAAAATAATCAAAAATATTAAAAAATCACAAAAAACTCACAAGTGTATAATTATGGATAAGAAATCTACAGAGATACAAAAGCAATTTAGAATAATTGGTAATGACTGTATTAAGAAGATAGAAGTACACTGAAAGTCACAATAGCATGTATGATTTATTTAATTATAAACTAATTCAATTTAGCTCAGAAGACTTATAAATAGGAATACACCAATTAATTTTGGTATAATTAGAATTTCCTGAAACAGAATAGAATGATGATTTTATGGACAAGAAGGTAATGGAAATCAGAAGATACTGGCGAAAAGGTATAAACTTTGTTATAAGGTGAATAAATTCCCAGGAGCTAATGTACAGAATGGTAACTTCAGTTAACAATAATGTATTGTACACTTGAAATTTGCTAAGACCGTAGATCTTAAATACTATTTTACACACAAGAAAAATGGTACTTAGGTGAGGTCATAGGTGTGTTAACTAACTTAATTGTGCTAATCATTTCACTATATATAAAATAAAAAATAATTTTATTAAATAATGATCATCTAAACAAAGCTCAGTATTAGGTGACTTTGACACCTCTAATCTAGTGGGAAATATTGGAATTCAAATATAATTAATCAGTAGAGAGTTTTGCAAAAACAAACCAACAAAATGAATTCAACATAGCCATATAAAGCCATATCATTCATTACCTGATAAAGATAACATAAACAGACTTCCAATTATATGCGTATGGTATGACAGGTGCCCTGAAGTTACCTATGCCAATAGAACACCTATTTTATGAATAAGATATATTCTTCGTAGCAGTGATGAACCCAGAGATGGCAAAAGAGGTCTGCAAGAACCCAACCATTCACTTAAAAAAAATCATATCTTGGTTCCAGCAGTTGGAGTGCCAAGCTCAGGACACAAGAAAAAGATGAAGGAGAGGGTTTAGAATGTTATTTAAATTTAGACATCATTAAATATGCACATTAAAGTTTTATGGATGACTAGATCAGAGTCTGTATAAATACTAGACCAGCAGATGTAAAATAAATTAAAAAAACAAAATTTTTAAAATAGTAAAACAAATATTAATTAACAAAAAGGCAGCAATAAGAAATAAGGCATGGAAATAGTGAACCCAACTTTAATGTAAATCACAATAAATTTAATTGGGCTAAACGTATTATTAAATGTTGGGAAATCGTGATCGAGTCTATAAATAAAAAATGTATTGTGTACACACATTTCATTTAGTGTAGTTGAATGTGTGAACCCCAGATATCTTAGCTGGTTTCAGTAAATTTAGGAAGTTTATTTTGCCAAAGTTAAGAATGCACGCCCATGACACAGTCTCAGGAGGGTCTGATGACATGTGCCCAAGGTGATCAGGGCCCAGCTTGGTTTTATAGATTTTAGGGAGACATGAGTCATCAATCATTATAGGTAAGATGGACACTGGTTTGGTTCAGAAAGGTGGGACAACTTGAGAGGGGGCTTCCAGGTCATAGGTAGATAAGAGAAAAATGGTTGCATTCTTTTGAGTTTCTGATTAAACTTTCCAAAGAGACAATCAGATCTACATTTATCTCAGTGAACAAAGGAATGACTTTGAATAGAATGGGAGGCAAATTTGCCCTAAGCAGTTTCCATCTTGACTTTTCCTTTTAGCTTAGTTATTTTGGGGTTCCAAGATTTTTTTCCTTTCACAAATGACATGTTCATGATTTTCCATGTATTATCATGCTATATAAATAAAACATATTATAGATACATTATTTGCAGGTGTCAACTATTACATTTAAAATAAAGATAAAATAGTATCAACATACAATCACTTAAAGAACAATCTCATTTCAATATCAAAACAATGATGTCAAATAAATTGCTAGTATCAATTAGCACATTTTCTATTCTGATAAGAATACGATTTAAATTGACTACAACAATCAAAAATATTTTGTGTAATGTTTTAAATTTGTGAGGTAATTTCTATTTGGAAGGATCTTAATTTTAAAGTTGTAGGACTGTACTAAAACCCATTTTTCTCTCCATCTCTCCACTGGTCCATCTAAGAGTAAAGTTTCCATGTTAAAATCCTGCATCTATTCTACTTAACAGATCAAAATTCTGCTTTTATGGTTATAAAATATCTTAGCAACTTTCAATTGCATATACATACATTGCACAATTCTGCAAAAAGTGAGTGGCTTCTCTGGTTGCTTCTGTAATAGAGACACAATTTAATGTTATTAGAAATCAGTATTACTCATGCCACCCATGCTAGGAAAGAATGCAAAGGGAAGCTCCTCAGGTGCCTTGATTTTCCAAAAAGATAGCTTAGAATTGCTGCCGCCAAACAACGGACTCTGTGGAGCTGCGAAGGACCTGATATATTGTGCTAAGAACATACATATGCAAAGAAAATTGTGAAATTATGCCAAATTTAATATTGTGTTTTTGTGTTCAAAAGTTATAAAACTGTTTAGGATGAGGGCTTGATCATGGGTCTGCAAGCTCATTAACTAGGCAGGTGCAGCACATTAGAATGCATAAATAAGCATATGCCTATCCTATCTTTAATTTACATTTTGATCTTTACTTAAAACAGAACTACCATTTGACCCAGCAATTCCATTACTGGGCATATACCCAAAGGAAAATTAATCATTCTACCAAAAATATGTCTGCACTCAGATGTTCATTGCACCACTATTCACAATAGCAGACATGGCATCAATCTAAATGTCCATCAACGGAAGACTGGATAAAGAAAATGTAGTATAGATACATCATGGAATACTACACAGTCATAAACAAGAATGAGATCATATCCTTTGTAGCAAAATGGATGCAGCTGAAGGCCATTATCCTAAGAAAATTAACACAAAACAGAAAACCAAATATCACATGTTCTCACTTATAAGTGAGTGCTAAACTTTGGGTATACATGGACATAAAGATGGGAATGACAGATACTGGGAACTACTGGAAGGGGAGAGAGAGTAGGGGCAAGGGCTGAAAAACTACCTATTGGGTACTATGCTCACCACCTGGATGATGGGATCATTTATACCTCAAACCTCAGTGTCATGCAATATACTCATGTAATAAACATATACAAGTATCCCCTGAACCTAAAAGTGGAAATTATTTTAAAAATAATTATTAGTTTCATATAAATCAACTTAAATAAAAATATATCTATAAAAATAAGTATCTATCTTGATTACTGTTTTGTCATCTCATTAAATTTTGCACTCAAGAAAAGTCCCTGTCACTTCCCCCTAGTCCTGGTCATATACAACATACGTATATCATATACTGATATATAGAATATAACTAGGTTATTTAGCACACAATATTATTACTGAATTTGAATTAAATAAAGTCCATATAACTGGTCATGTAATCTCTTTGGTGAGTTTGGTGGTAGGGACTTTTACTCCAAATTCAACTTCAATTTGGACTATCTCAACCCAACAGTTTCTACAAATGTTTTCTTTTCTCAAAGTCGTTCACCTATATGAAAATTTATATATTCATCCTTCAGATATAGTCACATGTTGAAGTGTCAGAGAGTCCTCAATACGTCTAATGATGTTTATTTCCTGGTGCCTTAAGTCCCACCTCATCTTACATTAAAATCTTTACAGAGTCAATTTAATGTTAACAAGCAGGAAACTATTTATCTTAAATTTAGACTTCCATTGCTACTCATCCTACTGCAAATTTAGTACACATTAAAAAAGAAATGCATACATCCCTAAATAAACTGAATATCAACTTGGGTATGTAATTTAAATGCACTGAACATCCACATTTTCCTTGAGCTTTACACAGCATTCTCTTACTTTCTCTAGGTTACTGATGTACTTTTCCTTTGGGATGGTGTTATATAATGCCTATGAAAGAGATTTAAGTTAATCATTGTTTTACAGTTAACTTTTTTTGTTTTTTATAATTTTTCTCTTGAAGAAAGATAAATGTAGTTACTTCCAGGGTGGATTTTCTTCACCCAGATACTCATTGCTCTTCCTTTAAGATGCACAAAAACAATTTTCTTCTAGAACAACATACCTGCCATAGTGTATTGATTGCTTTTTGGTTTGAGGAATTTGAATGAGCAACTACATTTCATCCTACTGGGAAACACTAACCCATACTAGTATTACATTTTGGTGGGAGGAAGATGAAGAAGCTAGGATAAAATGGGAAGGAAGATAAATGAGCTCAATTTCATAGGAGTAAGGCCTTTTTTCCCTCAACACCTGTAGTTTGCTGTCACATTCATTCTCCCTTTCTTTCAACCCACATGTGCATGCATACACGCACACACCACACACACACACTCACACAGTATTGCACTTTAATCTTCTTTGGCATTGCAAGAAACTCCATGAATAACTCATGAATATAAAAATGAATTATGCATTAGTCGACTCAAAACAAACTGTTTCCAGGTGATTTGATTTAAAAAGCTTATGACTGACAAGTGAAAATAATTAATAAACATCTAGATTGTAAAATGTGTGCACAATATTACAAAAAGTTAAAAGGGTTAAAAAATGGCACTAAATTAAGAGACAAGAAATAGTTGTGCTTCTCTCAATTATCCATCAAAATTCATTAAAATTCCACACTTATTGCAACTTTGATTCTGCATTATTTATACCACTACTATGCTCCATTGATTTCAATTTTTTGATTTTATAAAAAGAGTAAAAGAATACATTGCTTATTCCTGGCCAAGAGCAGTATGTTTTAAACTGTGAGCAAATGGTTGGGGGAATGACACAATAAAATTTTCAGAAGGAAGTTAATAGATGTGTGTGCTCAATCAGAAAGAACTTTATTTTTTGCATAAACAAATTTTCATGTTCTAAAGTGGAAAAGTGAATCCTATGTATATTAAATAATAAGCCAAAATTTATTCAACATGATTTTTATGAATTGTATGTTGATGTGTACAGTTTGTATGATGGTGACATGAAACTCTGTCATCAGGACTTACATTCCAGTGTTGTTTGGCTTATAAAATGCCTTTCCCAGTAATGTATTCATGTGTTTATCTAAGTATAAATACTGGATATCCCACTACTATAAATACAAATCTGAAGGAGGAAGTAATTTATCCCAGATAAATAAAGAATTCTAAGAGAAAAAGATAAAAAGATGAGGTCATATCTTACCTGTTTCTACAGAAAATCCCTTTGCTTGTTATAGAATGAACATCAGATTGGATTTAAGCAGAATCATTATTTTTCTGAGTTACAGGCTTTGCTCTCCACTCAAGTGTAGATTCTTGTCAAGCACTGCCCTTTCTAACTACTCTCAGCTGGAGTCTGAAAACTCTTATCCATCAGATTGCACCTTCCTTGTACCTCAGCCAGCCCAAAAGCCCCCAAAAGTGTAATCTTCTTAACTCTGATTAGTAAGTAAAATAGGAACAGGAAAGAGTTTTGTCACAGAATCTAACATCTCCCCTTTATAAAGCTTTATGTTTTGCATCGTTACATTAATGTCAGTGAGAATAAGATAACATAGATGAATTACCTGAGAAAATTGAAGCTACCTCAAACCTGTCAATGTAAATCTTAAAACTAACTGAAATCTATTCAAATTGCCAATCAATACAGGAATGTTTAAGAAAGATGGTTTCATACCTGATAGAATCGGTTTTTCAATGATGCTTAATATTTTTTATAACATTTTGGGAAATATGTGAGTATCAAATTGTTAATCTTGGCTGGGCACAGTGGCTCACGCCTGTAATTGTAGCACTTTGGGATGCCAAGGTGGGCAGATCACTTGAGGTCAGGAGTTTGAAACCAGCCTGGCCAACACAGTGAAACCCTGTGTCTACTAAAAATACAAAAAAAAGGGCCAGATGTGGGGGCATGCATCTGTAATTCCAGCTACTCAGGAGGCTGAGGCACGAGAATTGCTTGAACCCAAGAGGCGGAGGTTGCACTGAGTGGAGATCATGCCACTGCACTCCAGCCTGTGTGACAGCGTGAGACTGCTTCTCAAAAAAAAAAAAAAAAGTCAATCTTTTTATTTTCCTAAAATTCATATTGACATAGAATAATCTATGAGTATCTTCTTTGTGATTCTATTAAAAATATAAATTGATTTAGAGAGAAAATAAACATTTATAATATTGAGTTTGCATTCCATAAATATGATTTATCATATTGTTGGTAATTTCAATTATGGAAAATAAGCACAGAAAAAGGAATCGAATAGACTAGGAATAATTCTAACAAAAATGTGCAAGATGTCTAAACTAAAAAATTAAAATATTGAGAGACATTAAGAAGATCAAAATTAATAGAAGAAATAGGAGAGAAGCAGATAGACTCTGCCTGAAATTAAGACTATTATACGATTAGGAATTTAAGATATGTGTGTAAGACAGATAAATGGAACAATGAAATAGAAAGAGTCCCAGAAAAACTGAGATTTGATTTATGTAAAAGCTAGCACTGCAGAGCAATGGCAAAAAAAAGAAGGTCTTTTGGATAAACGTTCTTTCTAGCCAAAAGACAGACACCCAAAAAGAGTAGGAAATGGGGTAGCCTAGCAGACAGAAAACTTTTTGACATTAACTGCTCTACTCTGTCAGAAAAAATTATGATGCCATCCATTCAAACTCACAGCAACTAAGTTTGAATGGAGATTGGAGACTTCCACATTTGCCAGGCTATAATGAGGCAACCCAGGTTCCCCATGAGGATGGGTATCAGAGGTGTTCAAGTAGGCCGCTAAAATTTCATTCACACTGGCAGTGAAAGGATTCCTTCCCATGGTGTCAGCTGGGACTAGATGGGGAGCTTGGACTTCCATCTTCACCTGGTAGAAATGTGGCAACCCTCCACTTCTTGCTAGGGAAAATCAGAAGAGGGCTTGCTGAAAGTCAGGACTTTTACCACTGCTACTGGTGGTAGTCACAAGAATCTACACATGTGATTAAATGATATATTACCATGTATTCTTTCGTAACAAAAAATTCTCTAAACTATTTTTCCTTAGATTCCCTAAAGTAAAATTTAATAAAGTATTCCCTCATCATACTAAAGTACACCAAGTAAAAAACAATTTTGCTATTCTATTCTTGCTATTCTTAATACTCAAGAATTTGCTCACTATTTTTTGTTTTCTTTAATGTAATCCTAAAAATTGTCACTGCTTATCTTTTATACTAGACTTACAAACAATGGATGTTTTAGGTATTTGATCTCTGCAGATAGTTTTCAATCCACAGTATCTACACATTAGTGAATACTCCTGACTGAGCTTATTCTTGATGCTAAAATATTTTTCAGGTGACTAGAAAGTATTCCACGAATGATTTGTATCTGCCCATGATGTTTATTCATGCAATCTCAGTTTACAAGCAATTTATGATAATTGCATGTGGATATAGCCACAAAGCAATCCCTATAATTTTTTGCCAGGCATAAGAAATGGCATATTTTGGCCACTATACCTCAAACAATAGGTTTGGTAATGTTGACCATCATTTGTAAAATAAAACAAGGAAAGAAAAACCCTTTTGCTCTTTTGTATGACAAGAAACAAAAAATAGAAGAAATGGCTTGTTCGCTCTAACTCTCCACAAAAAAAAAAAGATAAGAGAGAAGTAACAGAGTGAAACAAAGCGTTCCTTCATTTATAATAAAACTAAAATTTATTTCTCATATACAAACAAAAACCAGCAAGAATTGAGAATCAAAATTAGGTCAATAACTGTGTGATGGTATAATTATTAGTAACACTTTAGAGCTGTACTTAAGACATAGTCAATTAACTTTATTTTTTTTTGTCAACTGCTCCTTATCCTTAAAAATAAAAAATGGACACTAAATCCAGCTCACTTAAATTCTGGCAGATGATTTTAATATAGGACAACGTGGAAAATTTATTTCTGCCAGATATTATAAATTCAAACATAGATCATAGCTATTATTACACTGATTATCATATTTTCCAGAATATATTCTGTACTTTATCTTCTTCTTGTTCCTATTTGGGGTGTTCCATATAATGATGTTTAAAAGGTAAACTAAGGCACAGTAAAATTTTTAAAGAGTGTATTTAAGTAAACAATGATTCATGAATTGGGCAGCTCCAAATCAGAAGTGGTCCAGGAGCCCAACCAAGGAAAAAGAAAGATGCTTTTATAGAACAGACACTGCAGTAAAGGAAAGAAAATACTTGATTGGTTGTTATTATACCTTATCCAGTATAACAGTGTTTATACTTAGGTATAACCTTACTGGGTTGCCTTATTTAGTCTTTTCCACTGGAAAATTCCTAGTTACAGATTATAAGTTACTTGGCTGTTTCTGATTGGTTGAGCTTAAGTTCTGTTATTGTCATTGTTGTTTTTAATACAGCCATTTACAAGAAATAGCTCAAGTTAAGTTTTGCTTATGTTTGCAAATCAAGCAAGCCTAAGGTAACTTATAAGGCCTAACTGGCTTTGTTTGCTCAGAAACTCTTCAACCTGATCTTGACTTCTATTTACTTTAATGGTGTCCAATTGATATTTAATGGGCTATGTATTTTATTAACCGTGGAGAAGCTAGAATCAGATCAATCTTTTAAATAACAAAAATAAACTTTGAACAAAATAATTTTAAAAGCACACATTGTTTGAAGTGACTATGGAGTGGCCTAAACCCTATGGAGACTGGAGTGAATTTACCTCTTTGAAGGAACGAACTTCCCTGTGTGAAATGCACATTATGTTCAGGTTTTCTTCTGAGAATATTTCTCAGTTTTACCTTGACCAATGTCTAGAAGCCAATACAAGTATGAAGTCTTATTGACATGAGGTCGGAGAGAGTGTTTTTCAGGGATGCCAGAGTGGTTGAAATTTGGGGAGACAGGTGAATTCCCAGGCAAGAGAGAGCTACAGAGGGAAGAGTCTCAAAAGCTTAGTTTAAACCCTTTCAAATTCATTGGTGTTTGATGAGGTACCCAGGTGCAGTGGAGACTTCAATGAGCCTAATATGAAGCAACAGTTAGAACGATGCGACTGTTGGGCAGAGAGTTTTAACTGCTAGCCCCTTTAGAATCCGAGTTTAGAATGTGTCCTACCAAGTTACATCAGCTTAACTAGCACCTTGGAATAAACGTGAAAACCTAAATAGAACCAAGTTTTTTTAGTAAAATCTGTTACTGAGCTATAATGTTTACAATATGATTAAGGGCACAACTCAAAGAGAAAGATATAACAGAGCAGAAAACTAAGCCTCTACAGTTGTAAGGTAATTAGTCGGTAATTTACCTATTTGCTAGAACAAAAAATCAAAATGATTCATAAGAAGAGAATCTAGAGTTTCTACCAAGTATTATCTTTAAGATCCTATCTAAAGGTCCGCTATAGAAAGAAACAGGAAAATGTGTCCCATAACTAAGAAAAAAAACAGTGAATGGAAATAAACACTGATATAAACCAAATGTTGGCGTTACAAAATTAAGAATTTAGCCAGGCGCGGTGGCTCATACCTGTAATCCCAGCACTTTGGGAGGCCAAGGCTGGCGGATCACGAGGTCCGGAGATCGAGACCATCCTGGCTAACACGGTGAAACCCCGTCTCTACTAAAACTACAAAAAAATTAGCCAGGTGTGGTGGCGGGCGCCTGTAGTCCCAGCTACTCGGGAGGCTGAGGCAGGAGAATGGTGTGAACCCAGGAGGCGGAGTTTTCAGTGAGCCGAGATCGCGCCACTACACTCCAGCTTGGGCGACAGAGCGAGACTCCATCTCAAAAAAAGAAAAAAAAGATTTTAGACCAGATTTTTATAAATATTTTCAGAGACTACAAAAGATAAAAAGGCTCAGCAAAATATGTAAATGATTTTTTAAAATAGAATATGTATATGTATAAAATTTTAACAAGTTAGGTAGACTGAGCAGTAGTTTGAATATGGAAAAAGTAAGGGTCAGTAAACTTAAGGATAGAAGTAGAAATTATTTTATTTTAAGAGGAGTGATAAAACAGAATTTTAAAATGAATGGTCCAGAATTCAGTGAAGCAAGGTGGTAGAATAGGAAAGTCCAGGCTCTTGCTCTACAATGGAAATATCAAATAAACAACAACATTACAGTCCAAAGTAATTTTGTGGAACTCTAAAAACAAGCTAAGAATCTGCAGTCACCAGGAGAAACCCCCAACAAAGAAAAGGCCACATTCAAAATGATAGAAAATGTGTGGCATTTTTGCTTACCCTTATCCCACCCTTTCTATCCAGTGGGGCCAGGCATGGTCGGGAGAAAACTGTCCAATTTCCAGTTTCTCCCTCAGGACCAGAAGGAAAAGTGTGGAACTTGTTTGCAATGTTCTAGCTTATCTGTGGGCTTCTTGAGTGACTGGTTTCCATCTTGCCTAACTGGGAGCATTGATTGGAAATACTGTCATGGTTTGAGCATGAGGTTGGAGACCACTGAATGCAATACTGGGGGCTGCAGTGTGTGACAGCTGCAAGGGGACTCCAGACCTGTGAGTGCCTGGGGACAAGAGACTGTAGACAGAGGAATACAATAGAACATCTAAGACCCTTAGAAGAGGCAGGGGTGAGACACTTCAGCAAAATAACACATTCAAAAGCATCATCTATATGAAAGAATTGGGAAATTACATACACATGCACAATTTCCCAGGAAAGATATGTTCCCAGAAAAGACCTGAAAAGACCTTGAATTTTCATACTGGTTGTTTAGTGAAAGTTTTCTCTTGCATAGAGATAATCTACAAAGACTAGAAGTAGCTGCTTTTTCAAATGTCTAATTTTAAACAAAAGACTACAAAAGCATACAAAGAAACAGTGAAATGTGACTTATCCAAATTAACAAAATAAATCTCCAGAAACCAACCCTAAAGAAACACAGGTTTCAGATTTACTTGACAATAACTTTAAATAGCTGTCATAAATTTGCTCAATGAGATAAAGAAAATCATGAATAGACAGTTAAAGAAAAATGAGACAAACTGAGATATAAACAATTCAAGAATATCAACAAAGAGACAGAAATTATTTTCACAAAGAACAAAAAAGAAATTCTAGAGCTGGCAATAAGATAATTGAATTTCAAGTTTAATACAGCAGATTCCAACAATCAGAATTAAAAAAAAAAAAGCAAACATGAAGATAGGTCACTTGAAATTATAGAGTCTGAAAAGCAAAAAAGAAAAGGATAAAGAGTGAAGTAAAGTGATAGTGACCCTGTTCCTTTCAGGTTCCTGCTTGATTTGTGAAACAGCCCAGGAATAAGGGACATTCTCCTGGATCATTCTGCTTCGTGAGAGGATGAGGGCTCAGGAAACCGTGAGTATTTTGCTGCTACTCACTTGTAAGTTTCTGCTGAAACCTGCCTTACTTATGGACTGTGCTACTGTGGTGCTTGTCTCCACTCAGGGTCTATGCTGTGTTTCAATTCTGCATGTCAAATTTCAGGTTTTAAGCACTTAACCCTTCATGGATATTTTCAGACCTGTTACCCAGGTTAGATTATATTTAATTTATGTAGTGACTTATACTAGATGACTAATCCAGTTCTTTTATCCTGGCCTTCTGAATTCAGCATGTCATCTCCCTCTTACTCTGTATCACCTAAAAAATGAAAAACACGATATCAAGGGATTTTATTTTTTAAAAATATTGTATTTTAGTTTGCATCATCTGAGTACTATTCTATTTACTGTGTGTTATCCAAACACACTGCTTCTTTAGAAATAATGTAAATGACAACATTCCAAGTTTTGCCAACATTGCCACAATAATGGCATTAGCAGATGATGTCCCAAGAATTAGTTGTAAATAGGCAAATCTAACTTTGCAGTGCCAAATGCTAAAATTAATTAAGTATTTGTGCAAGATATCCCTCCCAGGTTTGTGTTTTAAAAGCAGGGAGAAAAGTTATCTCCAAAATTTCTCCAAATTTTTGACAAAATTATTATCTTTATAAAATTTACCATAGTACATATTTCACAGAATAAAAACCTTTTTAAACCAAGCTGAAAAGCCTCAGAGCAAGTTTCTGCCAGATGTGATTTGATAAGCTATAAACCCTTGAAATATCAGATATGATAGTAAATATGACAACTGACCTTTAGTTATAATACTAGCAATGTGATACTGTAGAGATATCTGTGTGTTTTTTTCTATTGAGGCCATTAGGAGAGAATTTGTTTTGCATATTTTCTAAGAAAGAGCTCTAACTTTATGCCATAAAATTGATAACAAAGCATAGTTTCTATGATTCCATACATTTATCAGCATCATGTTGTCTATAGTGTAGTGAAACAAAATTCCTTAAAAATATAAAACATCACTATCTTTCAGTGGATTTATGTTTCCTTTAACATAATCCTAATAAATTTAAAAGTGTCTTTCACATAATATTCAGATAATAATGTGCCCAAGTCAGTGTTGCTTTGGATCCTGTGATAAGTTCCCATCTTTCACATGAAGGATAATAGTGTGGTACATTTCCCTCCATGTTCAGACTTGCAAGACAAGCAATGTACTGCTCTACCCTCAGATTAGCACGGAGACAGAGAATCTCCAAAATTGATCTTGATGTCTTCCCTATTAAAATAATAACAACAAAAACTCTGATTTCTCTGGTCTACTTCACATCTTACCTCTTCACTGGCTAATAACCTGAGCCAAAAATCTATATAAAATTGCAGACTCGTACATGTCTTCAAGTATTCATCAACTTCATGTTACCTCTTCCATCTCTTTGTTGTTATTCTTAGGACCCTTTTTACTGATTTCAGCAAAATTCCATCCTCTATGACCAGTGCTATTACAGAGTCACTTGTTCATAACTTTCTCCTAAACAATTCCTATTCCATGCTCAACACTTCTGCCAAAATCTGATCAAGTTAATCCTGTCAGAGGTACTCAGTGGCCTTCCTTTGTGCATAGTACCACAAATCAGTGCTGTATCCTCAATACTTAAGAGTGTACCTAGCATGAAAACAACAGAAAAAATCATCTGGATTTAGATACTTTTGTATAGAACTATGTGACTGAAGCAGTAGAGGCACCCATTTATTCTTATTCATTCATCCGTGCATTCATACAATGTGAATTGGTTGAGTTCCTGCATGGCATCATGTGCCTGTTCTTGTTATAGTAGAGAGTTAGGCAAACATAAGCAGGACAGAAGAAGCCTCTGCCACAACCAGCCATGTCAGGCGACCATCAGGTGATGGCCAGGCAGTTGTTAACTCTCTTTCTAAAATAATTGGTTGCAGCCAGCACCAGGGAAAGGCAGTCTCCCTATAGTTAGGAAATACCCGAAAATGCTGATCAGCAGCTTCCTGAAGAAGATCTCATGAGTTGGGTGAAAAGGCTTAAGCATGTACATTAAAAGGCAAAATGGCAGACTTAAACTGGTATATGACCTTCCAGGGCCATTCCACCAGTAAAGGGAAGAACGCCTTCAATGAGCATGAGTACAACTCCAGTAAACACTGCGCATGCTCCCCTCCCAAGCACTAGCTGATCATTGCACATGCAGACAGCACACTCTAAGGGAAAAATCAGTGGAGAAGGGATGCAAGACCCGAGAAATATGCCAACACATAAAACCCTACATCAAAAGGTAAAACTGTGCACTTGTCCTTCAAGTCACCCACTTGTCCCTCTTCCAAGTTCACATTTCTTCCTTTTGTTCCTGCTCTAAAGCTTTTTAATAAACTTTCACTCTTGCTCTAAAACTTGCCTCCATCTCCCCTTTTGCTTTATGGCCCTCAGGTGAATTCTTTCTTCTGAGGAGGCAAGAATTGAGGTTGGTGCATACCTGGATGGATTCCCAACGGGTAACATGCTCAGTGATGCGGTGTAAAACTGTAGGCAGTTGAACTAGGAAGTTGTGTATCAGCAACCACAACATAGGGACAGAATAAATTATGTTTTCAGAAGATAGAGATTAGGTAATTTGGCAACTCAGTTGGAAGACAGGATATTAGTTCAAACAAAGGAGGAATGCAAATCAGTTAAGGCCTAGAGGATGACATAGTATTCAAGTAAAATCCTTGAATAGAAAAGGTTTTTAACAATGTTGAGATGAGCCCTGAGAATAGATTAAGTACCGTGACTCTACATCTGTGATCATGTCGTTCTTTTACCCTTCTGTTTCTCCTTTTCTTTCTCGTCATTCAGAATTATCTTTATCCCTGCAAATAGCATAATGTTTAACTAAAACTGCTAAAGAATTATATTAGCTTATGTATAAGGAGTCTGTATAAAAGGTGTGTTGAGAGTTGGGGCAATGGCACACTGACATTTTTATAAACCCTGATGCTTCTGTACCTGCTACCCTTGGTCTTTCACCAATTTCTTCCCCCGTGGAAGAACACTGAACATAGACATTCCAGCTTCACTTAAATATAATCACATACAATGAAAAAGAAATGTGGCATTCTCTTCAGGTGTCTCTTAACTGGGGAGGAAAATTTTCCAGGAACCCCCTGCAAACTTTGTCAGTTCCCATTGACCAGCACTGGGTCACATCCATTTCTCTTGCTGCAAGAGGGGAGGGTAGAAAGACAAAATTCTGCTGTTTTCAATATTTATCCTAGAAGACAGGTTCAGTCAGTGCATTAGTCCATTCTCACGCTGCTATAAGGACATACCTGTGACTGGGTAATTTATAAAGGAAAGAAGTTTGATTAACTCACAGTTCTACAGGGCTGGGGAGGCCTCAGGAAACTTACAATCATGGCGGAAGGGGAAGCAAACACATCTTTTTTCACAAGGTGGCAGGAGGGAGAAGAATGAGAGCCAGTGAAGGGGGAATACCCTTATAAAACCATCAGATCTTGTGAGAACTTACTATCATGAGAATAGCATGAGGGAAACCACTCCCATGATTCAATTACCTCCCACTGGGTCCCTCTCACAACAAGTGGGGATTATGGAAACTACAGTTCAAGATGAGATTTGGGTGGGGACACAGTCAAACCATATTGGTCAGTGAGAAAAACAGGATGAAGTGGAGAGTTTTTATAATTAATTAAATAATTAATTTGTATTGTATAAATTTAAAGTATACAAGTATGATGTTTTGATATACATATTCGTAGAGAAATGATTACTACAAGTAAGCAATTTAAGATATCCATCACTTTCCATAGTAATTTTTTTTTCAGAATGAGATTGAATTATTAGTAGTCAACCAGCAGCATCTTCCTCTCTTTCTCAGTTACTCAGTTTTCTCTTCATGTTTAGACTTCATACTGTCTTACTTCCTCTGAACTCCTTTAATGAACATTACCTGTACTAGTCATTTGATGTTTAAATAATGAGCCACATGACTAGCTGCTATTTTGTGAATATGTCTGTATTCATTTCTTGGGGCTGCTGAAACAAAATACCACAAACTGGGTGTTCAACCACAGAAATGTATTGTCTCACAGTGCTGGAGGCTAGAATTCTGAGATCAATGTATTGCTGGCTTGGCCATGCTCCCTCTGAAGGTGCTTGGGGAGAACTTGTTCCAGGCTTCTCACCTAGCTTCTGATCATTTCTTAGCGTGTGGCAGCATAATTCCAACCTTCACATGGTGTTTTTACCTGTGTGTGTGTGTCCCTGTGTTCAAATTTTGCCTTTATATGTTGGATCTGGGTCCATTCTAATGACCTCAGACTATTTCCAAAGGTCACAGCACCAGACACTGGGGGTTAAGACTTCAACGTCTTTTGTGAGAACACATTTCAACCCCTAATAATGTCTAACTGTTCTGCTGAGAAAGTAAACAAGGTCGGGGCAGTAATTTTTTTCTCATATGCATGTTTCACAAAGAGCATGAAGCAGAGTGCTTTTAGCATAATAATTGCTTAATAAATATTCTGATTGATCCTGATTCAGATCTTCCTCCTCTAAGTCAATGCCACTCAAAATGAGGTCTGCTGAACAGTAGTGTTGCAGCACATCTGAATAGATCTTTTGTGTGTGTGGGGGGGGGAACTATGCCAAGGTCAGAGAAAATTTGGGGATAGGTTTGTAGTACAATAAGTTTAAAATGTTGCATAGGTTATTTCACCCCTGGGAAATTTCAAAGACTTTCATATGTCATGTAATAGGGATCTGCCACAGGGGAATGAGTTATTTGGTATTTGCCAAACATATGGGCCATATTTTTTCCTACACAGAACACTTGTTAATGTCTTCTGAACAGCATCATGTTACAAACACTATTTGGGAAATCTGCTCTCACTTCATTGGCACTGGCTCAGAGATCACAACTAAAGAAACAAATAGAGTTAACTTTCTCAGATCCCAGGTTATATATTAAATCATATGGCAATCCCATTTTTAGTAGCTATATATTTTGTTTCATGACAGCCTAAACCTTCTCATGGCCCACAAAGAATTATATATTTTGTGGTTGGTCATAAAATCAAAACGATCTTAAGTGAGTATGAAGTTTTGTAAAAAGGTAAACTTAGCTGATTTTATTTTTTTATTTTGTTTGAAAGACTAGAAATGTCTAGAGCTATTATTAAAGCTTTGATTGTTCATAATGCTTCCTCTTATAATGTGCATTACTTGGTCATATGACTTGTTTGATTGAAAGTATTTGGATTTTGTCACATTTTACTATAGTGATATAGAAACAGGCCAAAAGGGAACCAGCAGTGGGGACTTTGGATGGGATTGTCTGGAGAAAGAGGGAAAGAGAGACATATGAAAAACCAAAGGTCTGCATCACAGAAGCTAATTGTGATGCTATTCATATCAGATTACAATAACACTTGCACAAGCAGGTGCACCAAGCAGGAACTCCCCTCCTCTCCAGCACTGCAAACCCCTATCTGGTTTTAAAAACCCAGCTCAAAGTGGCACCTAGAACCAAGAAGCCTTCTGCCTGATTTATTTGGGAATACGTGATTTTCTTTCTCTGGTCCTAAAAGATTGGTTCTGTACTCAAAGTCAAGCTCAAAAAGCCTGAGTGCATGTATTATACAGAGTAAGAAAAAAATCTTACTTTCATTTATGACTCTTAGGCAGTTTGCCAAACTGAACTGATTGAAAAAAACAATGGCGATTTGAGGATCCTGAAATCAATAGACTCTCAGGCTTGAACCTCAAGTCAGTAGACCCTCAAGTTACTGAAGTCTGAACTTAAGAGAGACTGTTTTGAGCACCATTTTTGCTAACCGCAGGCTTTTTATTTTTTGGAGCATATTACTTAACCTCTTAGTCCTCACTTTTCTCTTCAGCAAAATAGAGCCTGGAATAGCTATTAAATTGGACCTTTATGAAATTGCTGTTTTTGAAAAAAAATGTTGAAATGTTACAATTTAATGTGCTTCAACCTACTATGCAGAGAGTAGTTATGAGATTTTTTCTAATAAATGGACTGAAAGTAGCCGGCCTATTGAGTTAAACTAATAATAATAGAGAGCTGTTGTTATTATCTATATGGTTTCTATCCAAACATACTTTTATTTTGCATAGAACACTGACAGCTACATGTATTGATGTCTCCATGGATACCCTAAATTAAATACGACTTTCAAAAATTAAAATTTCAAATTTCAACTAAGGGATCAATAAACATTTTGATTTACTTATAAATGAATTGAAATGTTTATTGATCTCTTACATTTATAACTGTAAAAACGAAAGACTTTAACATGTTTATTTTCATGGATCTTAGATTCCAAACATATTCTTATTTTATTTTATTTTTCTCCAGAAGGCATCAGAGCTCATGATTTCAAACATACTAACTTAAACCAGAAGGTTTTCTTAAAGGCTTAGACTTTCTTCCTGAACAAAAGATTTAAGAACTTAAGTGCTTTTTAAACTAAGAAAAATGATTTATGCCATTGCCTGAAACAAATCTGCCTAACAGCTGTTTGCAACTATATAACAGGAAAATAGAACCCTATTTGGAGGGGCAGCTAGATTTGGTGGTACTTATAAGGGCCAAATCTCTGTTTTGAAACAGTAAGATTGGAATTGGCAGGGTCTTCTCTGGACACCTGGGTTGAGATTGGGAAACAAGGTTAGAAATGCTGTTGCCCTTAGCATGACTTCTATATTCCAATCAGAGTCAGCTACACATGTCCAGGTTTGGCTTCAAACTGATGACTCTAAACCAGCAATGGTAGGAGGTATGTTAAATCAGATTGCCTTCTAAATCTGATTCCCAAAAAAATATATATATATAAAACACCCAAAACAATGGCACTGACTTTTAATTTCAAGGTTTGAAGTCATTAAGCATGATGAAAAAAAATCAAGAGTTGGCTGTGGCATTTGGTGGCTAGAAATTCATCTGTTAGGACAAGGGAAATGAGGCATATATTTCATCTGCAACATTGCCTAGGAAATATTTAGGGCCTGGACTTGACCACTGATGACTATCGCCATTGGAGTTCTGCATCCATAGTCTACCCTGAGAGCACCTGCTCCCTCCTAGCAAAGGCCCCTTGGTAATGATTTTCTTTTAGTATATTTGATTGCCAACTTTTATCTTAAATTTGATGAAGCTCATTGGTCCTAAAATGTACACAGGATGCTACAATGATGTTCTTGTCTTTGTTTAATTTAGAGGCAAATGGAACGTTAAAATAAGAGTATGAATGGTTGTTTAGTGATTGTGTTTGAGGCAAGTGAAGGGTGGTCTATGCTTGAGCAGTGAGGGTTGGGAATTTTCTGCTGTAGGTAAGAGTTAAAACAACACCCAGTCAATCCCATGTAAGTGAAGTTCTTTAATTCTCTTCTCAGTTTAATCTGAAGTAATAGATTTTATAATAATGAATGGAAACACATTCACTTCTATTTTCTTGTACTTGCTGGAACCCACTGTGGGATTTCTATTGTCCATCCTGACTGGTCTCAGTTGACTCACCATTCCCCAAGGTCTGCCAAATCTAGGAAAGCATGCTCACTTCGTCCCTGCTAGGGGCTTGCTCTCTCTATATGGTAGTAAAAGCTACAATTCTTTTTTGCACTAAATACAATTTTATTCTCTGTTCTTGGACCAGGAGGTGGCAATACCATAAAGCTTACTTTACATTTCCTTATGTGTGATAAATCTGTATTCTATGAGTAAGTTCTCACTAGGTCAGAACAGAGAAGCTCTTTGTTGTCTCTTCAAAGTGAGGAAATTAGTAATTAACTAGAAAAACCCAAACAATAGCTGTTCTTATGGTGAATGTGTCTATCTTTTGTCTTCTAAATTAGAAACATACTGGCTGTTTTGTTAGTAAACCTAGACAGAAATTTCAAAATTTGGAACTATAACTACAATAATTTATCAACTTCTGATTCATGACTTCCATTCGTCATATTTAAAAATTTAATAATTTATAAAAAGACCATTAATGGCCTAGCATCCTTGGAAACCCCGCTGCTCAGTGCTGGCTAATTTACCTTCCCCCTGCATGAGAGTCTCACTCCTTTCACTCTCCAGTTTCCCACTCAGATCTTCCCTGTTTCATACTCTCATGTTGATGGAAAGTGTCTGGAGAACTTTCCTTAGCTACTACTTGTAATTTCAACTGAGGCTTTCTGAAGTAACAGATTTTGTTGTTACTTCTAATAATAAAAAAAGTCAGACCGGGATAGATTTTAGTCGGATGTGGCCCTAAAATCTTGGCAATCACACTAGATAAGAGACTTTTGTATACCTTGGGCCCAGGGTATCACATATAGAACTCTTTTATCTTCTGCCACCATATTTCACTAGGACTATAGAGAAAAGTAAAACCTGTCTGAAACACCATAGAACATGCATTCTGAATTTTTAAAATGTCTATATTAGAAGAATAGTCATTACGTGAATTAGAACAGTATTAAATTATAATTTTTCCTTAATTGTAAAAGAAAGGATGTATGCATGAACTGAATTCATGTCTACAAATATCGAGGTTATGTTATGCTTGGTTAGATTGCTAAGATCATCCCTGGCCATGAGAGCCAAGTCAACTATAAAATTTGCTTCACAGTTATCAACAGTTGAATTCTGGGCTTTTATATTGTCAATATACGAGTAGAAAGAAAGAAAAATATTTATAACTAGATGCTCAGAGATTGCAAAGTATAAGAAACTCCATTTTGAAAACACAGATTTCAGAATAAACTCTCTTTTCTGACTCTTAAAACAGGTTCACATGTCCTTTAGCCGTTGTCAAAGAAAAATTTTACTGGATAGAGTTAAACAGACAAGAAAACTTTATTCAAGACTATTGCAATAGGGGAGAGAGAATGAACTCAATTTCACTGAAACAAAAGACTAAAAGACTTTCAGATGTTGGGGTGAGCTAGTAAAAATGTACTGGAGGAAGCTGGGGGGAGGTTGATCAATGTAATTAGGCCATTTCATTTGTTAATTGTTTCTTATGAAAGTCAAAAGTTAGGCTCCTGCCCTCCCGTAGAGACTGAAAGGTGAAAACTCCCTCTTCCTTGATGATTACATTTCAAAGGGATGGCTCCCAGGCCTTCAAGAAAAACATTCCTGCATGTTAAAACTGGCCAACAGGCTTTTAAAAAGATTTACATCCCTAAAGGGCAGAGAGAATTTGCAATCATCCAGTGTTCTAATGTAAATGCACCAAGAAAAGTGAGGTAAGGGAAAAAAAAGTCAGGAAGAAATTTGTCTAAAGTAAACTGAGAGGGATATTAAGGCCATCTTTTTTCCTTTTTTTTTTCTTTTTGAGATGAAGTTTCACTCTTTTTGCCCAGGCTGGAGTGCAATGGTGCGATCTTGGCTCATTGCAACCTCCGCCTCCTGGGTTCAGGCGATTCTCCTGCCTCAGCCTCTGGAGTAGCTGGGATTACAGGCACGCACCACCACACCTGGATTATTTTGTATTTTTAGTAGAGATGGGGTTTTGCCATGTTGGTCAGGTCAGTCTCAAACTCCTGACCTCAGGTGATCCACCCGCCTTGACCTCCCAAAGTGCTGGGATTACAGGCGTGAGCCACTGCACCTGGCCCATTAAGGCCATCTTAATCACCATCTCACCAGTGAAAGTCATACAGCCAGGGCAATTACCATTGTCGATGAAAAGAGTCAAACTCTATAAATATTTGAAGAGATTTATTCCAAGCCAAATATGAGTGACACAGCCTTCAGGAGGTCCTGAGAACATGTGCCCAAGGTGGTTGGGGTACAGCTTGGTTTTATGTATTTTAGGAAGGCATGAGACATCAATCAAATACATTTAAGAAATACATTGGTTTAGTTCAGAAAGGTGGAAAAACCCAAAGCAGGGGCTTCCGGGCTGTAGGTAAATTTAAACATTTTCTGGTTGACAATTGGTTGAGGTTATCTGAAGACCTGGTATCCATAGAAAGGAATGTTCAGGTTAAAGAAAAATGATTGTGAAGACCAAGTTTTATTATCCAGAGGGAGCTCTTAGATAGCAGACTTTAGAGAGAGCAGGTTGTAAATTGTTTTATATCGGATTTAAATGGGTGCCTGGCTCTTCGTTGATTATCTCCTGGATCTGGGCGGGAAGGAAGGAAAACAAAGGGTGAAGAGGATTCTCTATAGAATGTGGATTTTTCCTACAAGAGACTTTGCAAGGCAATTTCAAGGTATGGCAAGGAAATATATTTTGGGGTAAAACATTTTTATTTTCTTCCTCATTATGCCAGAGTCAGGTTGGAAAGTAAGTCATGATATATGGGGTTAAAAAAAACCCATCTCATGAGAATTTATGGTTTCTAGGTCATGACTCCTCAGACTCCTTAGAAAGGAATTTGAGTAAGTTAAAAAAAAAACAGAGCTTAGTCCTCATCATCATGACAAACTACCTAAACAGATGACAATGCCTGTACAACCAAACTGTTAAGGACCAATATTTCTGTTCACTTCATAAATACAAGAGTAAATGTTTTGACTTCTCACCTCAAACATTTTAGTGTCCTAAAAGG
Organism: Homo sapiens; assembly: GCF_000001405.40. Classification (NCBI taxonomy): domain Eukaryota; kingdom Metazoa; phylum Chordata; class Mammalia; order Primates; family Hominidae; genus Homo; species Homo sapiens. The sequence continues at coordinate 83,282,862 of NC_000002.12, read as the reverse complement.
AAATCATTTAAGTTATAATTATTAATGCTATATCAGGAGGGAGGTATAGCTTTCATGAAAATTTATTTTTGAATTTCCATTAAGAGTCTACAATGCTCAACTATTTCATGTTTGTCTGATTTGTAATACTCAAAAAGTTTCAAAAAATTGCCATAAAGACAGAATTTAGGGAATAGAGTTCAATGTCCAGGGGAACAAAAATGAGATAAAAGTGGAAGCCAAAGATCATCTTGATAAGTCATCTATCATTTGGCCAGCAACCTTTGGAATTCGAGGAACAGCAACGGTGATTGATGTGTTGCTAAATCGTGAAAATTGCTTCATACACTGGCAACCCGGGAATCTGCCCAGCCAGCTTTACAGACAATCTCCAGCCAGTATTACCCTAAAATTCTTTGTGCACATGACTGGTTTAATTCATCTATAATTACATTTACATATAAAATTACCCTACATGTTTGATTTCAGGGATACCAGGATAGTCTTCTCTGTCAAAATAATATCTCTGTCTACAAAATTCCAGAGGAAATGCCACTATTAGAGAGTACTTTGTTTTTGATCACTTTTGCATAATTGTCTTCCCTTAGTGCACTTTCTTAAGGGTTATGCCAGAGCATGTTTGCTCCTTTTGTCTCTGGAGACAGCAGTGAGTGCACCCTCTGTCCATTTTTCTTTCCCTTCAGTGCAGTCAACAAGGTTCGCGCCTTCTGCCTTCTTAACCTCTTTCACAAAGTAACAGATAAAAATGAAATATTTTACAAGTAAATGCAGAGATTAAATTTTATTGCATCTGTCCTTGCTATCTGCAGTGATATTCTCTACTCTATCCTTACCTCTCCAGTCCAATTCACATATCACCAGTCATTTCAAATTCCTCAAATGGGATTTTGCATATTGTTATAACAAATATTTTCCAGGCTGGGTAGTGTGTGAAGAAAATGCATTGAAGGCTTTCCATTTGCATATAAAGTAAAAATTAATTTTTTAGGATTAGAAAAATGGAAAAAGACCTCTTAAACTTCATTTGTGTTGACCAATAAACAAATGATTTAATGTTAATATCTTGATCTAAGTTTCTATTTTTTCAAAATAGAAATGAAAACATATCTACCTTACAAATATAATGTCAATATATAATCTGTGTGTATATTTGCATATGATGCACATATATGTTTGTGACTACATATAGGGCAACGTTTGGCCTAGTACTTCAATCATGCTAAGAATTTAATATATTTTAGACATTATAATTGTTTTACTTGTTATTACCATGAGTTGGCTTAAACAAGATTTCACTGGAATTTCAATGTGATTCAGAATGTTATCATAACAGAATAATTAATGAATGCTTCAAGACAGAATTTTGAAAACAAATGAGTTCAGAAATATCAGAGATGGCATGTCAGGCAGATGGAGTTAGAATATAGATATATATATATAGAGAGAGTAAATGTGCAAAACCGTGAAGCTTCTGATGTGAGAGATCATGCATTTTTTGTAAAGCAGAATAGAGAAATATGCATATGAGATTTTTGCCATGGAAAATGTGTGAAAGGGCTTTGGATTCAGGATATGCTACAGTCATTGTTGTACTGAACAGTGAAATGCTAAAAGTCCTATCTCTCTCTCTCTCTCTCTCTCTTTTTTTTTTTTTTTTTTTTTTGAGATGGAGTTTCACTCTTACTGCCCTGGCTGGAGTGCAATGGCGTGATCTCGGCTCACCACAACCTCCGCCTCCTGGGTTCATGCAATTCTCCTGCCTCAGCCTCCCAAGTAGTTGGGATTACAGGCATGCACCACCATGCCCAACTTGTATTTTTAGTAGAGACAGGGTTTCTCCATATTGGTTAGGCTGGTCTTGAACTCTGGACCCCAGGTAATGCGCCCACTTCAGCCTCCCAAAATGCTGGGATTACAGGAGTGAGGCACCGCACCTGGTAGTCCTTTCTCTTAATATCAGAAACATAATACAACTGTGTGTTGGAATATGTTAGTTACTACTTCTCTGTGGTTAGAGTAGTGTTTTTGAAGAAAATAAATACAATGAGTAAAATGTGCACTGGCTGTTACATCTTTGAATAAAGTTTCTCAAAGAAAAATGGATGGCCAAGTTTAAACTGGTTTGGAATGTGTGCCTGAGGCCCAGTGCCAAAATAAGGGACATCTTACTGTCTCATCTTGAATCAATATCATGGCATCTGTCTGTGGAGAATCTAGGTCACAATGTAGAGTCTAAGTATACTTAACAGCCAGCTGCACAGAGATCATTGTCTGCTTTATAGACCGATGCTTTAGCAATCTCAATATGGTAGTCCTGTCCTCTGGGAAACATGGCTCAAAGAATATGAAGGTCTTATTGTTTTTCCCAACTGCTGTTCCCCAATTGCTCTCATGAAAAGCAATAAAAAGATTATTGAAAATTATAGAAAAATCTTGATTTTGTGGAAAGCAGAAGCTCCCACTTCTAGGGAAGCTCTAGTATGGTGAGATTAGGCTTCTTCTTTCAAGCATTGTGAAGCATTTACATTAAACATCACTGTTTAAATTCCAGCCTGTGTATACATGATACAGAAACAAATATAAAAAATAAAATTATAATTATTTTACATAAAACGATTTCATAAAGCAATTGGAAGTGACTGCATACAATACAGTTATACAAAACAGTGTGACATTATGCCAGAAATCATAAGTTCGAAAACAAAATTTAACGAAATCCAATTCTCAACCGCAATAAGAAATGTAGAGACATAAAACTATCTAAAACATTGTCTCGGTGAAACATAGGCAGAAATTTTTGTTGAGAGAAAACATGCATATTTGAATAAAAGGAGAACCATACTAGAGCTTTATAAGTGAATGGGTTGATAAGAGAGGTTAAATGTGGGTTTTCTTCAGTCACATTCATGTGTAATTAATAAAATTATAATAACAGTTAAAATTAATTTTATTTTAGGAGAAGACAAAAATAATAAATGGTTTATCTCGAAGAATTATCAAAAAGAGTATACAGAGTACCGTAGCATTGAGTACCCCATAGGAAACAGTTGCCAAGCTTGAAGGTCAAAATGAATAGAATAATTGAGGGGCTATTCAAGAGATTTGGGTATAGGTAAGGGTAGTGGAGCCCGACAGACTGGCAACAACAGAAAGCCACTTACCACCCACTCCTAGGCCTCACATGACAGAAGACGGGACTGGATCCGTAGAGTCCATTTCCATGGAAAAGGAATGGCCATCTGAGATGATTTGTCCTGTGGGATGCAGCCACTGTCAGAATGACAGGAAAGAGGGCTAGGAATGATACCTACTTGACCTCTTTCTCTCGCTGCACTTCCGACTCCTGCTACTGCCACCCATTTTCCAAACCCAGCCAGTAGCCACGTGGCAGGAATGAGTAAATCTTCTCAAAAAGCATGAATGTCTAAGCACTGAGGTTTAAATGTGCCCGCTCCAAAATTTGGGAATTGCCAATGTGACAGTATTAAGAGGTGAACATTTAAGAGGTAATTAGGGCTGGGAGCAGTGGCTCAAGCCTTTAATCTCAGCATTTTGGGAGGCCAAGGCGGGTGGATCACTTGAGGTCAGGAGTTTGAAACCAACCTGGCCAACATGGTGAAACCCTGTCTCCAATAAAAATACAAAAGTTAGCTAGGCGTGATGGCATGTGCCTGTAGTCTCAGCTACTCGGGAGGCTGAGGCAGGAGAATCACTGGAACCTGGGAGATGGGGTTTGCAATGAGCTGAGATCATGCCATTGCATTCCAGCCTGGGCAACAAAGCAAGACGACTCTGTCTCAAAAAAAAAAAAAAAAAAAAAAATAGGAATTAGGCCATGCAAGTTCCAAAATGAAGAATATAAGCATTTTGGGGGGAAGTGAGGGATGATAGGACTTTAAAAATATAGTTTTATTAATAAACAATACAGTTTATTACTTCTCTTTATTTTTGAGTTAATACATAATAATGAAAGCATAATACATTAATTGTGAATCCATCTAAAAATTTGCTTGTATAATTATATAAATATGATTAGTTGAAGGCAGAAGGGAGCTAGAGCAATATCTGGACTTTCCTGATGAAGAAAAATGAGGCTCAGAAAGATGAAATGATGTGTACAAGGTCATAGCACTAATCAATTAGGGATTTATACAGCTGCTTTCCAGCATTGGTCATTTCATGAACAGGCTTCGTGAGTGCACTGTTAAGGAGGAAGGAGCTCATTGTGTGTGAACTTGGCACTACTTATTGAAGGTTAGGGTCAATGCTGATTCCATTTTTAGGTATAAGGTATAATGCCTTTTAGGGACCTGGAGAGGAATAACTGTCAATCCGTGTTTTCCCCAAATCTCTGTTCCATACCTGTTCCTACAGGTAAGAGAATGAGGATGAGAGAAAGAGCACTTGGTGTTTGGCTGGGATAAAGAATGCAGGTGCCAGATTCAGGTTTTCAAAAGTACCATGTTGTTTTTTTTCAAAAAATTTCTTAGATTAACTATGGATAAACAATTTCTATGCTAAGATATTTCTTAAACAAAGAATTATAAATAAGGTCAAAATAAATTGGTCTATTTAGGTAGAAAGGCAGCCACAATTTTCAAAAAGTTATTTTTTGTTTGTTTGCTTTTTGTCTTTGAGACAGAGTCTTGCTCTGTCACCCAGTCTGAAGAGCAGTGGCGTCCTCACCTCATGGATCCCTGCAGCCTCGACTTCCCAGGTTCTATCTTCCAGGCTCAAGAGATCCTCCTGCCTCAGTTTACAGAGTAGCTGGTACTACAGGCACGTGCCATTACACCTGTGTATTAGTCTGTTCTCATGCTGCTAATAAAGATGTACCTGAGACTTGGTAATTTATAAAGGAAAGAGGTTTAATTGACTCACATTGTGGCATGGCTGGGGAGGCCTCAGGAAACTTACAATCATAGCAGAAGGGGAAGCAAACATATCCTTCACATGGTGGCAAGGAAAAGAAGAATGAGAGCCGAGCAAAGGGGGAAGCCCCTTATAGAATCATCAGCTGTCGTGAGAACTTACTATCACAATAATAGCTTGGGGGAAACCGCCCCCATGATTCAATTACCTCCCGCTGGGTCCCTCTCACAACACTTGGGGATTATGGGAACTACCGTTCAAGATGAAATTTGGGTGGGGACACAGTCAAACCATATCAACCTGGCTACTTTTCTTTTGTTTGTTTTTAGTAAGGACGCCATCTGTCTATGTTGCCCAGGCTGGTCTCAAACTTCTGAGCTCAAGTGCTCCTCCCACTTCGACCTCCCAAAATGTTGGGAATACAGGCATGAGCCACTGTGCTGGGGTAATAAAGTTCTTAGTCACTTGGTTGTAGAGATTGCCCAGAAACCCATTGTTTCATTCATGCTGTGAAACCACTGGGAATTAGTTGGCCATCCTGTTTGAAGTAACAGGCCAGATTACATCTCTGAAAAGAAAGTAACAATATAGCAACTTTCCCTTTATCACCTGAGAGAGAAAAACATGACATTAATTCTCTATTGCCTTCATCCTTTAGAAAGATGAGAAGACAAGTTTTTAGATTAGCCTCCTGGGAGTCACTACCCTTTGTAAAATAGTCAACTGCGATGTGTTATTTGTCAGGTGGATATTATTGTTAATTTTGAGAAGCTCATAATGCAGAGTTGTAGGTTATGCTCTAATTTGTTGGCATTTTCTCATCTGACAAAACAAAATTCACTAAAAGTAACATTAGTCACTCTAATATTTGTGTTGTGCATGTGTGTGAGTAAATTTGGAGCTTATGAGTATATTTAAAACTTATAATCATTTTGTGAGTCTGTGACATTTATTCCTAACTGCCCATCATAAAAGAGCAATCAAAACTGCCTCTAACCTATAGATCAGCCTGTGTGGCATTATCAAAATTGTGACACAACAGAGCTTTCAGGATTTTAATGAGGTTAAGTAGTTAGACAAATAATGATTAATTTACAGGAAGGTCACCTGAATTTCTAGGAAGGTACATTGAATTTCCTGAGTATTGAAATATAGCAAGAAAGATGATTTAAAAAATTAGGTTTGTTTTTGTTTTACTTTGTTGTTTTTACATGCTGAAGACTGATATGGTTTGGCTCTGTGTCCCCACCCAAATCTCATGTTGGATTATAATTCCCACGTGTTAGAAGAGGGGCCTGGTGGGAGGTGATTGGGTTATGAAAGCAGACTTCCCTCTTGCTGTTCTAATAGTGAATGAGTTCACATAGGATCTGGTTGTTTGAAAGTGTGTAGTGCTTCCCTCTTCGCTCTCTCTCCTGCGGACATGTGAAGACCTTCTTGCTTCTCCTTCACCTTCTGCTATGATTGTGTGTTTCCTGAGGCCTCCCTTCTCAGCCATGCCTCCTGTATAGCCTGTGGAATTGTGAGTCAGTTAAACCTCTTTTCTTCATAAGTTACCCAGTCTCGTCAGGTAGTTCTTTACAGCAGTGTGAGAATGGAATAATACAGAAAATCAAGGAGGATTTCCCACTGAATTAGCTCCAATCTGACAAGGCAATGGGCATTTTTATTTGCTGTGTTTAGATGAAAGTTTGTTTCAACTATTTTTGACAATTAGAGTGGGACTGACCCATCTGAGCCCACTAGGGTGGTTGAACATGCTTTTGCTTATGTGTTTGTTTATTTCCCAATCTTTAAATACTATGAGAATACTATTCTTGGAGAGAGAAGGTACCTGCCTGCCATAGTAAAAATTTTCTCTATGATCTCCGTGTTTTTTTTTTTGTTTTTTTTTTTCTTGCTAGACCACATCAGCTCTTATACAGGCCCAGCTCTGACATGTCCTTGGAGAGAAACTCCACATCTAACAGAAGCTCTAAGGGACAGTGAAATGTATAAAACCAAATGTGTGTTCAAATTTCTGCCAGGCCACATTGACCTACCTCAAACATTTTAAATGGTGGTTTTGAGTCAGTAGGTACTTGGCTAGAGATTATAAATCAATCAGCTTAAATGTCTAACTATAAAAAAAAAAAAAACTAAAGAGTAATGTGTCATTAGACACAGCAAATATATGCATATGCTTAAAAAACCTGTTCTTTTATTATCCACTGTTTCTCCTTAAATTTTAGTGCCTTCAATCAAGATTTGACTGCATTTATACCAAACATTTCCCCTTTCCAGAGGATGATTTTTGCCTAAAATAGCCCAGGAGAACATTTGGGAGTATCCCAAATTGTTGTTGCTACATCAAATAAATCACATCTACTATTTTGTAATTTTAACTATTAAAACGTATTAGGAAATATGGCCTGCCACTCTTTTGGCAGAAGCACGTGATTAAGCAGCTTGGTGAATAGAATGAACAGGCGCTGGGATAAAAATCAAAAAGCCCATCCATTTTCATGCTTCTGGGGAAAATAAATCTTTGGGAGTTCCAACTAGTAGAACATTGCTTTCTTGTTTTTGTAGTTTAGTGCATTTTGGGTTTTCAGAGCTTTCTCTGATCATTTCATATTTGCTAATGTGAAAGACAATCATAATGAATTGCTTGCAGTGTATTTGCTGCCTTATTGATAAACCATGCCAAGCATTAATGGGGCAGAAAGCTAATCCTTACTATTTGGGCAATTATATTTATCATTCTGATAGTGAGTAATAATAGTACATTCTGAACTCTGAATGCAAGAGCATGTCTGAATCCTTAATCCTCAATACCACATGTTCCTTACATATAATAGTTATCAGAAACATTGGTTGAACGATTGAATGCAACATTACAATTAATTCAATAGACAGACATTGCTTTAGTATGTGTCATCCTCTGTCTTTGGAATGTCCTCTCCAGCCCCATCCAATACACCTGGCCCATGCAAATTCATCCATAGAATTTCATATCAGACATCACTTCTGAAAGCAATCCTCCTCTGGTTATGTACAAGACAAAGGTAATCACTCTCCCCTTGGAGCTATCTAGATATCATGTTTATGTTTTTACATTGCACATATGTACTCTTAAAGTTCGTTTGTATGTCTTTCCCATGATCAGAGAGAATTTCTTTTAAGCGTACAGTAGGTATTTCTTTTTCTCTGTCTTTTCTTTATCTAGCACGAGGTATGTAATAAACTTTCCCTATTGTTGGATACATTCAAGGATGTCTAGATGGATTGAAGAAGATATGATGTCTGTACCCCTGAATTCTCATACAAACATGTCTTTAAATTATGTTATTAACATTATATCAGTTGGATGTGATATTTGAGCTGCTAACTCGCTCTCCAGTTGTTAAGAAAAAAATTTATTAAACAAATACTTTTTTGGGCAGGGCATGGTGGCTTACGCCTGTAATCCCAGCACTTTGAGAGGCCGAGGGGGGCGGATCACTTGATGTCAGCAGTTTGAGACCAGCCTGTCCAACATGGTAAAACCCCACCTCTACTAAAAATACAAAAAAATGGTGGTGGGTGCCTGTAATCCCAGCTACTCAGGAGGCTGAGACAGGAGAATTGCTTGAACCTGGGAGGCAGAGGTTGTAGTGAGCCAGGACGATGCTATTGCACTCCAGCCTGGGCAACAAAGTGAGACTACATCTCAAAAAAAAAAAAAAAAAAAAAACTTTTTTGAAATCCTGAAAAAATGAGCATGAATATGTCGCATATACAAGTAGGGAATAACATTTAGGGCAAATGACATTTTAAATGCAAAGCTATAGAGCTGATTTTTGGTCCTATTTAATCTATGTAATGGAGAGAAATTCAGTGTTATACTGGTAGTGAGAAAGGAGAATGCAAATATAGACAGGAGTAAGGCATAAGGTTTACCCCATGGTTGTGGGAAGTGAAAAGCCATGTGCTAGATGGTCTGGAGTGATCATAAACTCATTGGCATGGACAGCAGTAAGAAATTCAAGCAATAGATAATAAGGACTCAATAAAATGAATGGCAGCATAGGTAGAAAGAAAAATCAGATTTAAGGATATAGCTAAATTACAATTGACAGAATATAGTGACTATTTACACAGAGTTGAGACACATATTGTGCACCAAGTTTTTTTGTCATTTTTGTTGTGTTTTTAACTTTAAACAATTTTTTGAAATGTAGTATTATTAAGAGAAATAAAGAAATGTGAGAATTGGGTCATAAATGGGACATAAATTGTAAGACAGATAATAAATTATCTTGCATACATGTTAAGTGCCACTGAATTTGCATATAAAAATGTCCACTAGGCATTATGAAATGTGTTTATCACATGAGAGCATTTTCAGATAAGACTACAGATTTTGTACTTAATGACATGGAAATAGCAGTTGAAAAACTGAAAACAAATAAGGTCACTCTGTGAATACAGAGCAAAGAACAAACAGGATCACATTTTGAATTCTGGGAATCATGTACTGTTGAAGAATGAATAGAGCAGGAAACACCAGCAAGCTTTAATACACCAGCATACAAAAGAAGCAAGCACCTTCATCCAAATATTTTTGGCTGATAAGGAAACCTTGACACTGAGAAACTTCTTATATCTGTACTAGGTTTACAAGAGAGATAATGAAAGTGTGCTCTAGGCATTATTATGTTTTTCTATAAGCATTTGCTTCAGGCCGTAATCTGTTCTCCAGGTAACTGTGTTTAATGATGTAGAAGTACAAGGATTCCTTCTGTCTTTTCTCCAGGTAGACCTAGGTCTCAGAACCGTAAAAGTATGTCAACACTAGTTCTTGGTGTTTTCTTAGGCTTGTACCTTAATTTAGAATCTTCAGAATTTTTATTAATACAATGGTGAGAAAAAGGAAATAAAGGAAAATACAAACCAAGAAAAACAATGGAGCATTAAAAGAGATTTTTCCGAAAGACCTGATGCAGATCTTTTCAAATTAGCTAATCAAAGTATCTTTATAGGAGATGCCTAATCACCAGAAGGCTCAAGCAAATCTTACCATCCAGCTAGATCAAAATAGAAATTCAAATTCCTAAGAAAGAAAATACCCAAAACATAAAATATTCTCTTGCTGTCATCCTAAGTCATTTTGAAGAAAAGCCGAGAGTGGAGTTGGGTAGAATATTGAGCTTCTCCTAATGGCAGTATCAAAGAAGGCCAATGGAATTGGAGATTAACAGGAGAGAGCTGTAAGACGCAAGATTCACTGAATAGTGACAATGAAGTCATACAAACACATCACTTATGGATGTTGATTGATTATAGGTTGTGGAATTTAGTTGTTAGGTAATAATTGATGGCTTAAGAGAAGTTATGCATACACAAGACATAAAGCAAATATGACAAAATGTCAATTGTTCATTTTTGGTTCTAGAATATTTCATTCTGATGTACATATACATCAGAACCATATATATATACACATATACATATATATATATCAGAACCATATATATATACATATACATATATATATATCAGAACCATATATATATCAGAACTATATATATATATATATACACACACACACATTTATACATGTGGGTGTTTATATATATATATATATATGGTTATGGTAGTCTTACAAATCTTATGTAGCATTTGGTCATTGTCAAAAGTGAAAAGGCATACATCCTTGTTTCTTTACCTTGAGGGTGCAGCCCTGAAGAGTGAAGACAGTGACGAGTGATAGAGCACAGGAAACACTCTAATAGTGAAGTATGGTCCCCATTATGATGTTAAGAAGAAGGAAGTAAACAATATGGATTTAAGGAGCATAAAAAGGGGATGGTAAATATAAAGTAATAATGACAAAAACTATCTGTGAACAAAAATGAATGCTACAATTAATCTTAGAAGGGAAGTTCAGGAAAAGCTAAAGGAAATTGATAGTTTAATAAGAAAAATGGGCAGAGATGTTGGATGGGTCAGAAGTTCTGGGGATTCCAGAGCTTAGTTAACACATCAGATTAGAGAATCATAAGATTAGATGAGCGTGTATAGAAATTCTTCATAAAAAGAAAAGTATTTCACTTGCTCTTTCTTTCCTCATTTGTAATTTTGAGAATTTATTTTTAAAATATTTTAAAATTGATATGCAATAAATGATAAATAGTGAACTCACTACAATTAGATATATTTTGTGCATCACTACAAATAAATATGTTTGAAGATAAATTTAAAATTCCTCAAAATTTTTTGAGCATATTTTAATAATAACATATTAGGAATATTAATTCTTAACAATATATTAAGAATTTGTATAAAACTCAGTCTTTTTTTACTGTAGAATAAAATGTCATCAGTGCAAATGTAATACAATTATCTCTGTGACAAGTTAAGCAAAGTTGCATCATAATTCTGCCCAAATTGTGTGACCTGGCTATTGTAGTAGGAAGAGGGCTGTTGCTACGCAGGAAAGCGCGTATGTGCAGTTATTTAGGTGATTAATTTTTTTCTGTTGGCATTATAAGCACTCATACATTTCATTAGCATTGAGTCATTTAATGTCAGCTATTTCTTGCTGCCTAAGGAGAAAAATAACCAAACAATCAAACCAAGCAAAAAAAAAAAAAACCCAGAAAGCCACATGAGCAAGAATCACAGTGTATTACAGGTAGAGATTTGCTCAGAACTTCCTAATTTTATATATTGACAGAACAAGGCCCCAAGTCACTTGCTGACTGAGTGGCAAAGTTGGGATAAGAGTCCATGGCTTCACAGTTCTAGTCTAGAATCTTTGCAGCATGAAACAGAAATAAAAGTTATTGGAGGGATAAGTTCAAGACATCTATTGAACATCATGGTGACTATAGTTAATAACAATGTATTCTGTAAATCAAAAAGTATCTGGGACAGTTCTCAGTAAATTTAGAAGTTTATTTTGCCAAGGTTAAGGATACATGCCTAGGAGATAGGTCGATGCCTTTCTCCAAAGATGATTTGGAGGGGTTCAGTATTTAAAGAGGGAAAGGCAAGCTGGAAGGGGAAGAGGGAGGGTATGGTCACATTACTGAACCTACATGTTGCAAGAGAAAAGGAACAGGTAGGGGAATAGTCAATTATACATTTGTCTCACACTCAGTAAATCAGCACTTCACATAAGATAAGGTGAACACAGAGTAGCTACTTGTGGAGATATTTAACTTTTTATCTGTAGCTATATGCTTAGAAACAAAAGGAAAGGTAGTTTCTTGCACAACTCAGTTTTCAGCTTACATTGTTTTCTTTTGGCCTAGTGAAATTAGAGTCCCAGATTTTTATTTTCCTTTCACAATTCTATACTTGAAAATTGCTGAGTACATTTTAAGGGTTCTCATAGTAAAAAATGAAAAGTATGTAAGTTAATGCATGTTAATTAGCTTAATTTAGCTCCTCCACAATGCGTATATATATATATATATCTCAAAACATTATGAAGGCTGGGTTTGGTGGCTCACGCCTATAATCTCTGCACTTTGGGAGGCCAGGGGGCCATCTGAGAAATATAACGGGACCGCACCTCTACAAAAACATTTAAAAATTAAAAAAAAAAAAAATACCCGGGCATGGTGGCATGTGCCTGTAGTTCTAGCATCTTGAGAGGCTGAGGTAGGAATATTGCTTGAGCCCAGGAGTTTGAGGTGAGCTATGATCACACCACTGCACTCCAACCTGGGTGACAGAGTGACACCCTGTCTCCCTTAAAATAAAAAAAATCATGTTATATACCTTACACACACAATTTTTATTGGTCAATTAAAGCAACATTTAAAAAGCCATTGTGGTGAAAGAAAAAAAACAAAGGCATTGGAGTTACCTCTTCCTCCATGGAGTCTTAATGCAAAGCATCATGGTGGACCCCGAAAGATTTAATGAGCTCAGTTCCAGTAGTCTTTGAATCTTATTTTATTAGCTTGATGTTGTGTGGCAACCTTAATGAGTAAAACAAGTCAGTGAGCATTTTTACCTATTTTTCTCCCTCTTTTTATCTCTTCGTGGCCTTCTGTACTTCAATAAATATATGAATAAATGAAAAAATGAAATCCTTACTTGCTAATTCAATAGGACCTGTCATAGAAGTGTTTCTGTTTAACCCTTATACTTGGCTCCATGTCACCAATTTGATTCCTGTACTCCAGTTGGCTGGCATTAAGTGCAGCTTGAATTTGGAATTAATTAATACAGTTGACATTTGAAATCATGAATTTAATGTCAGGGCAAAAAACTATGGGAGTTATAACAGTTATGGTTAAAACCAGAAACGAGAAACTCAATCAAATATTTAAAGTACATGAAATTTAGCACAGGGAATTGGTTTAAAATGTGAGAGAATAGCTAAGAAGCCAAAAAGAGGAGGGCCTGGCAATCTGAGCATTAGTCAAAGCAGGAAAGCGCTTTCACTCCTCAGGGTAGAGGGACAAAGGGAGGCTGTGATGTCATGGAGCCTGAGGATCAAGGGTTAACTGGTGGAATATGAAACCAAGGTGGAGCTCTCAGGTGCCAGGTAGAGTCATGGATGGGACTCTGCCCTTAACTCACACCTGGACTGTTAAATATCCACTCTGAGGTGAGGGAGAGGGACACTACTAATTTTCTCTTCCTCTCACTGTGTAATCCCGGCAATACTGAGCACAGCAGAGGAAAAAAATAAAAAATAAATAAAAAGGATGGAGGTAAAATAGGATGAAGACAAGAACAACAGTATTTCTTAAAATATGGTCCATAAAGTAACTATTACAGTCACCTAACAATTTTGAAAATGCAAACTTCTAAGACAGAAATCATGACTTATTATTCAGAACCTCAGGGTTGGTGGAGTATGATTTAAAAACCTGAATATATAATGAGCTAAAAATGAGAAAATGAGAAAATCCATGAGCTATGGCTGAAGAAAATCTGCTCAGGAATCTTTCTTCTTTCTCTAAGTTATAATTTATGATAACTTATGGAACCACACAAATATCTCAAATAAAAATTTATATTTACTTTTTTAGCTATTCTAAAATGAGAAAATTAAAAGAAAGGCTGATTATTTTAATTTACTCTTAAATAGGCTAATTATAAATATCCTAAATAGTTGCAAGATGTTATTAAAATTTCATCATGTTAACTGCTAAAAATAACTTCAGCTTTGTGATACCACACATATGATGGATGGAGAGAAAGAGAGGCAATACTTACTAAGTGTTTATTATGTGGCAGAAAAATATACATATTATATATTTTAGTCATTAAAAAACCCTTCATGGAAATATGTATCCTCCAGTCTTACAGTTACGGCAACTGAGGCACTGATATTTGACATGTGATAATCCATGTCTCATGGCTGTTTCTGGACTGGGCCAAGATTTAAACTTGTGTAATTCAGCTTCAGAAAAAAATCCATGAAAGCTTTTATCAAACAGAAAACTCTTATGTTTTTGTTTCCTCTCCTTCCTTTACTAATTGCAAAAACCCTATGAAGAAAAGTATAAAAATTATAAGTTTACAGCTTGAGGAATTTTGGTGAAGTGAACACACACGTGTAACAGGCACCTACAACAAGAAACAGAACTTGACTAGACCCTCCTCATATCTCCTTGCAGGCATTAGTTATCCAAGGCTAAAACATCTATGCTGACTACCAACATCATATATTTTTGTATGTTTTTAAAATATAAATGGTATTATATTATATGTAGTCTTTTGTGTGCAACTTCTTTTTTTTGAGCATTATCTTTGTGATTTTCATCCATTCTTTTCTCGTGCAGCAGTAGCTAGCTTATTCTCATTGCTGTTAGCATTCCCTTTTAGGAATATCCACAGTTTGTCACTGTACATCCACAATATTTTATGTTGGCTATAAAAATATTCCAAATTTCTGTAAATATACACCTAAAGAAAACTTTTCTATAAGGATTCGTCCTGATTTGAATTATAATCAAATGACATATATAAGTGTGTGTGTATGTGTGTATATATAATACATATGTAGTTTTATAAATTTAAAATATTTGTGTAGCTCAAATTGAGTTAATGACAGTTACACATTTGTATTTTTATATATATAATACATATACATATATATATAATCTGCTGTATGTTTGGTAATGTAGGACATATTGAGTAAAAGATATATATAACAGTTACATAAAATATCATGTCACATCACTTCACACCTACTTCATACCTAATCAAAAACAATGGAAAATAATAAGTATTGATGAAAATGTGGAGAAATTGAAACTCTTTGACATTGATGGCAGGAATGTCTGGTCCACCTTTTTTCATATTTGATTTACTTGGTACCTTAACTAAAGCCCTGTCTCCAGGTTTATAACCACTCTGCACAGCCTTCTAATTGAAATTCTATTCACATTATTCATTTGTTTATGACCATCAACAGATCTCTACTGGCATCTCATTTTGTCTACACTTTCAGGTCCTAGAGTTTATTATATGAACTGTTTTCTCATGGCATACAGCTATATCTCTAGCCTTCTCTCATGGTGCAGAGCTACAGATTACTTTTCCCATAAGAAATATGTTTCTTTGAGTTATGTGGGCATCATTCTCTCCATTTGGAACCCACTATGTCATCTGTCCCCTTAGGAGAAAATCTTAGCATTTTTGTCCCTTTGAGCCATCCATACCTTAAATAAACAGAACAATTGCACTTTTAAAATAATAAATTTGCCCTAATCCTTTACATATCTGTTTTCTAATGAACTATACAAACTTTGAGAACAGAGCATGTCTCATTCATCTTTGAAACCCAATACTGAATAAATTCATGTTGGATAAATACCTAAATAAATTCATAGCTAAAAAAAGAAGAGATTATTTCTAGCTAAAGGCAAGTAAGCCTTTGCAGATAAAAGAAAACTTTACTTTCAAAATCCCTTGGTAATCAGAATATATTGCTTAGGACCTGTTTTCAAGGAGCAACCCTTTTAATGTATCTATTGGCCATATCAGAAGCAGAATCGATCAGCATAGAGATAGCTAATATATGAAACCCATTAGGTATATTTGCTCTCCTAAGTAGGCCAAACATTGGCTACAGAATCTCATTTACAAACAGGGTTATTCATCACATTTTCTCACAATGGATAGTGTACCAGACATTAATCCATCAATATATTGAATCCTCACAAATTTGTGTAGCTGAAACTGAGTTAATGACAGTGAGGGTCACACGTGTCCCTAACAAATTAGATAAGTTGTTACTTAGTGACATATGCAACAAATATAAAGCTAGTGAATCAGTGAAGCTAGTAAAGCTAGATATCTAAAATAAAACCCTGAAATTAGTCTCCAGTAACTGACTGGCAAATCAGAGCTTGGTCTGTCTGGTCTTTAACATTCAAAAAAGACACCTGGCCAAATTTTTAACATTATCATTTCTCAGGAAAAAAAAATGCAATTTGAAAGGCGGAACTGGAGGGCAGAAATAGCCTCAAACACTGGCTCATCCTAATTCTGCCAGCACAATTTCTTCTCCAGGAGGAAAACTGTTCACTATTAAGCACAAAGCTCATTTAACTCAAAATCCCAATCAACAGAACCCTGACAAAATGTTTCATAATTTTTTTTAAAAAAGTAACCAGCCTACTCATAATAAATAAGAGTAAGTGCTATAGGAATCTGAACCCCAAAATTTAGAGACAGGTCTCAGTTGATTTAGAAAGTTTATTTGGCCAAGGTTGAAGACAACACCCATGACACAGCCTCAGGAAGTTCTGATGACATGTACCCAAGGTGGTCAGGGCACAGCTTGGTTTTACACATTTTAGGGAGACCCGAGACATCAATCAATGTTTGTAAGAAGTACATTAGCTCTGTCCAGAAAGGCAGCGCAAACTCAAAGCAAGGACCCCTGACTGGTGGCTTCCAGGTCACAGGTAGGTGAAAGAAAGATGGTTGCATTCTTTTGAGTTTCTGCTAAGTCTTTCTAAAGGAGGCAATCAGATATGCATCTGTCTCTGTGACCAAAGAGATGACTTTGAATAGAATGGGAGGCAGATTTGCTCTGAGCAGTACCCAACTCCTTTCACAGAAAATAAACAAATTATTATATAGCACACCTTAGATTTTTAAAAGGGGATAGATGAGCAGTTTTGCAAAAGTCACTTTCAAAATTGTAGATTATTGGGCAGCAGGGGAGAGAGAAAGGGGTGGGGAAGAGAAGAAAAAAGACCCAACTGAGTTGCATCCATACTTCAGAATTTGTAATAAGCAATTTGCAGCATGCATGTTGGAATGACACACAGGCTGATTATGAAGAGAGAAGTAGCAATCCTCAGTCTCTTTCCTTTATTTCTTCCAGCTCTGCCTATTTCCACAAGTTCTCCCAGATTTTTTTTTTAGTAACATTAAGCATTATGAGAGATAGCATGTCACTCCTTCAAAACATCAACTCTAGAACACAATGGTCTGAATCAACAGCTTCTGAAAAAATGACCTATATATTACTTTATGTTTCTGATTTTGTTTTGTTTTGTTTTTTGAGGCTGAGTGTCTCTCTGTTGCCCAGGCTGGAGTGCAGTGGCAAGATCTCTGCTCACTGCAACCTCTGCCTCCTGGATTCAAGTGATTCTTGTGCCTCAGCCACCTAAGTAGCTGGGATTATAGGCATGCACCACCACGCCCGGCTAATTTTTGTATTTTTAGTAGACACAAGAGTTTCACCATGTTGCCCAGGCTGGTCTTGAACTCCTGACCTCAAGTGATCTGCCTGCCTCTGCCTCTCAAAGTGCTGGGATTACAGGCCTGAGCCACTGTGCCCAGCCTTACTTTATGTTTCAATCAAAGTGGAAGTTGTACTGTATAATTTACAACATTAAACTTTAGAATGAAGCATGGCCATTCCCTTCCAATGTCCATACTAAATCTAACTTCATTTTATCCCCAAAATAACACACACACATACACAGGCAAACACACATACATACTGCATTCTGTAAGTGCATTTCTTCTTTCCATCCTTGAATAAATCTCTTACATTTGATTAAATCAATGTTTTATATTACCATGAGTGTGAACTAGTGTTCCCTGCTGACTCATGTTATGAACTAGGCTTACATTTTTTTCCTTGTTAATTTTTTCACATGCAATTAATATTTGCCACTTATTTTATTTATGGAATTCCTGTATCCCAAAATATAGGACAGCAGCTTAAATCAACTATCCCTTAGTGTAAACACATAAGATGGTTAACTGTCTCCCTTTTTGTCACTGTTCTTTCTTCATAGAGCCCTAGCCCTCCAGCACCAATGTGGACAGATTGCCCTCCAGGTCTCTGTATTGCTGAGGACCTGCAAATTCAGCGCACTTTACTTCTGCATTTGGCTCATTGTTTTGTAGATCACATGAGTTCTTTGTTCTTAGGTTATTTCCTTGATTTTGAAGGACCATGTCCTAGCTTCCTACACTGGTCAGATAAAACTTTCAAGGTTTGGTTTGTTTTTGTTTCAGTATTTGCATATTTACTATTATCTTTCTCCTCATATTTTATCATTTAACTGGATATAAAAATTAGGCTTCAAAATAATTTTCTCCCAGAATGTTGAAGGCTATAATCCCAGACAATCTGAGACAGGTCTCAGTTAATTTAGAAATTTTATTTTGCCAAGCTTAAGAATGTGTGCCCGTGACACCACCTCAGGAAGTCCTGATGACATGTGCCCAAGGTAGTCAGGACACAGCTTGGTTTTACACATTTTCGGGAGACATGAGACATCAATCAATATATGTAAGAAGTACATTAGCTCAGTCCAGAAGGGCAGAGACAACTCAAAGCAGGGAAGGGGCTTCCAGGTCACCGGTAGGTGAGAGACAAATGGTTGCATTCTTTTGAGTTTCTGATAAGCCTTTCCAAATGAGACAGTCAGAATATGCATCCATCTCAGTGAACAGGAAAATAATTGAATAGAATCAGAGGCAGATTTGCCCTGAGGAGTTTCCAGCTTGAATTTTCCTTTTAGGTTAGTGATCTGGGGTGCCCAAGATATGTTCCTTTCACAAGGCATTGCACCCATTCCGCAAGATTGATATCAGTAGTAACAAGTCTGATGTTATTTTGAAGTCCAATCCAATGTTGTTACTTGTTTATATTTGATAGTTTCATTGTAGGCCTTCTTTCAGGTTTTCCGTTTGTTGTTGTTTTTTTCTCTTCCTGTAATCTGACTGAATTTTTTAGGATAAAATCAAAATATGATTTCTGGTGGTGTCATGGTCAATGATGAACTTTTCATTGACTTCCATTCACTGAGGGAAAATCATGGGACAATTTAGAATATACCTAGATTTATATGTCTACCCAGTTATAAATCTAGATATACCCTGGTACTCTTTTCAGTACCAGGTGGGCTAAGGATATTCACTGCACTTCTGTTACCACAGATAATGTCACACATAAACTAATTTGTTTACAAAAGAAGGAAAGAAAAAGAAAGAAGGAAGAAAGGAAAAGAAGGAAGGAAGGAAGGAACTATTTTAGTGTATGTCCTCTGGTAGTTGTGATGCTTCTGTTTTGATTTTTTTGGTTGTTGTTTTGAGATAGAGTCTCACTCTTGTTGCCCAGGCTGGAGTGCAATGGCGTGATCTCAGCTCACTACAACTTCTACCTCCCAGGTTCAAGTAAGTCTCCTGCCTCAGCCTCCCAAGTAGCTGAGATTACAGATGCCTACCACCATGCCTAGCTAATTTTTGTATTTTTAGTCAAGATGGAGTTTCACCATGTTGGCCAGGCTGGTCTCGAACTCCTGACCTCAAGTGATCTGCGTACTTCGCCTCCCAGAGTGCTGGGATTACAGGCATGAGCCACTACGCTCGGCCTTCTTTTGATTTTTAATTTTGTTTTCACCTAGACCAGTCACCTTCTTTACTATATAATAGCATTTAGGGGACAAGGACCAGGGAATAGTATAATGCATCAAAGTCCACTTCACAAAGACCTGACTCCATGAAATGGATCCCATTAGAACTCTCCACTTGGTTTAATTATCTGAGTTAAGCAGTCACAGACCAAAAAGCCATTGCAAATATCATGAATATGATTTAGTCTACAGGGAGATAATAAGAAAAAAAAAATACGAACCACAAAAACAAAGCAACACTCAGAAAACAGCCTACCCCTAAAGCCTCTGAGTCACAAATCACAGGTATGTGCTTTCTCAATGGCTGTCAACTCTGACATATCGTGTTCTTCCGCTGAGAGCCCTTTGTTCATGAGGTCCATCAGTGTCCAGAACCGCTGTGCAGATGTGAAAGTGAGGCCCATGCCTGGACTTCTCTTACGAATCGTTAGGTAGGCTCCTGAGGGAAAGAGAAGGAGAGAAGACAGGTACGCCGATTTGGGATTGCTTCCCTTGTTTGTGACAGGGTGGTATCTCAAGGCACAAAATAGCTCTATGTTTTTGTTTCTTAAAACTAGCTTCTCTCTTAATACAGTCTGTTCTGTTCTTTCTCCTGGAAGTTTCTACTGCAAAGTTTCTCGAGTCTTTATTTTGTCTATAAATGAATTGATCCCTTCAAGCTTTTAATGAACGCTCCTGATATTTTTGGAAAGATTAAAATATCCTAACATCTCCAACTCTGAATGATAAGGGATTCTCACTTGCCTGCTAGATCAGCCCCCTCTGAGGCTGGAACTCAAGGATATTGCTGTCAAAATCAGACCCTCTGAAGTTGGGCATGTGTTCATACCAATGCCAAAGCATCACATCAAATAAGATAATAATAACAACCATGTTCTGTTGCTAAAGGGTCACATTGTCAGGTCTTTTTCCTGAAGCCTCATATTAACTTGGGCTGGTAGTTTACTGACAAATTATTTTTTAACAATTGTATTAGGTGATATTTCCCATGATTTTTAAAAAATCAGAAAAAAACTTTTTTGGTACAAGAAAGCCAGGATTTTATACTCTCCAGGGCTAGCCAGTGGTGAGAGCCACACCAAAGACAGGCTTCTAGCAACCTTCCACAAAGGCTCTCAAAAGTTAACTTTGAGTCAGGAGGAGCCTGTTGCAATGTTAATATGGTAACCAGCAGAAGTGGTCTATTGATTTTTTAAAAAAATTCAGTGTGTCCTTGAACATGTTGGTCTCTTAGACTACAAGTTACTTCTCATTGTGTGATTGAGACAAACAACCTTTTAAAAATCCATGTTATGTATTCCAGGAGGCCCCTAACTGCCACCATCCCCCACCACCACCCCCTGCCCCGCCACCACCACACCCCCAGCAGAGCTTGTTTCTCCACACTGTATGTCAGAAATCTATATCTGTACTTTATTGACAATACTCTTTTGTTTGTTTGGATGTCTGTCACCACACAGGATTGTGCTTCATATTTTATGTGCTTTATATCCTCTCAGTGTTTGCTGAGAGAATGAATAGATAGATAACAGATAAAGAAATGAATGAATAATTCTATTATTGCATGTAAATATCTGAGTTCAATGAAGTTAATAATATTCACAAGTACTTGAACTTGAAAGAATGGGAATCAGGACAGGAAAGATTTGAAAAAGAGACATGACATTCAATAGTGGTTTTTCAACTTTATTTTTATAACTTTTTAATTTTTATTTTAGGTTCAGAGGTATGTGTGTTGGTTTGTTATATAGGTAAATTGCATGTCATGAGGGTTTGGTATACAGATTATTTCATCACCCAGGTAATAGGCATAGTACCTGAGAGGTAGTTTTTCAATCTTCTTTCTCCTCCTATCCTCCACCTTCAAGTAGACCCTGATATCCATTGTTCCCTTCTTTGTGTTCTTGTGTACTCAATGTTTAGTTCCCACTTAAAAGGAAGAACATGTGGTATTTGGTTTTCTGTTCCTGCATTAGTTCACTTAGGATAATGGCCTCCAGCTCAATCCATGTTCCTGCAAAGGACATGATCTCATTCGTTTTTATGGCTGTGTAGTATTTCATAATGTATATGTCCCATATTTTCTTTATCTAGTCTACAGTTAATGGGCATTTAGGTTGATTATATGTCTTTCCTATTGTGAATAGTGCTGTCATGAACATAGTTGTGCATGTGTCTTTATGACAGAAAGATTTCTATTCCTTTGGATATATACCCAGTAGTGGGATTACTGGGTTGAATAGTAATTCTGTTTTAAGTTATTTGAGAAATGTGAGAACATGCAATATTTGATTTTCTGTTCCTGCATTAGCTTGCTAAGAATAGTCACCTCCACCTTCATCCATGTTCCTGCAAAGGACATGACCTCATTCTTTTCTATGGCTGCATAGTATTCCATGGTGTTTATGCACCACATTTTTTATTGAGTCTACCACTGATGAGCATTTAGATTGATTCCATGTCTTTGCTATTGTGAATAGTGCTGCAATGAACATATGTGTGTATGTGTCTTTATGATAGAATGACTTATATTCCTTTGGGTATATACCCAGTAATGGAATTGCTTGACTGAATTGTATTTCTGTTGTGTTGGTCTTTGAGGAATCACCACACTGTCTTCCACAATGGTTGAAATGATTTACACTCCCATGAACAGCATATAAGCATTCCTTTTTTTCTGCAACCTGTCAGCATCTGCTATTTTTTGACTTTTTAATAGTAGCCATTCTGACTATTGTGACATGATATCTCATTGTGGTTTTGACATCTCACTGTGGTTTTGATTTACATTTCTCTAATAATCAGTAATGTTGAGCTTTTATTCATAATTGTTGGCAACATGTATATATTCTTCTGAAAAGTTTCCATATCTTTTGCCCACTTTTTAATGGAGTTGTTTGTTTTTTCCTTGTAAATTAAAGTTTCCTTTAGATCCTGGATATTAGACCTTTGTCAGATGCATAGTTAGCGAGAATTTTCTCCCATCCAGTAGGTTGTCTGTTTCCCCTGTTGGTAGTTTCTTTTGCTGTGCAGAGCTCTTTAGTTTAATTAGATCACATTTGTCAATTTTTGCTTTTATTGCAATTGCTTTTGGCAGGTTTGTCATGAAGTCTTTGTCCACTGTAATGTCCAGAATAATATTGCCTGGGTTATCTTCCAGGGTTTTTATAGTTTTCGGTTTTACATTTAAGTCTTTAATCCATCCTGAGTTGATTTTTGCATATGGTTTAAGAAAGGGGTGCAGTTTCAATCTTCTGCACATGGCTAGCCAGTTACCCCAGCACCATTTGTTGAATAGGGTGTCCTGTTCCTATTGCTTGTTTTGTTTGCTTTGTTGAAGATCAGATGGCTGTAAGTGTGTTGCATTATTTCTGGGCTATTTACTTATTGTATTCCATTGGCTTATGTGTCTGTTTCTGTACCTGTATCAAGCTGTTTTGGTTACTGTACCTTTGTAACATAGTTTGAAGTCAGATAATACTATGCTCCCTGCTTTGTTCTTTTTGCTTAGATTTCCCTTGGCTATTCAGGCTCTTTTTTGGTTCTATGTGCATTTTTAAATAGTTATTTTCTAATTCTATGAAGAATGTCTTTGGTAGTTTGATAGGAATACCATTGAACCTGTAAGTTGCTTTGGGCAGTATGGCCATTTTAACTATATTGATTCTTCTTATCCATGCGCATGTAATGTTTTTCCATTTCTTTGCGTCATCTCCGATTTATTTGAGCAGTGTTTTTTTAATTCTCACTGTAGAGATCTTTCACCTCCCTGATAGCCATACTCAAAGGTATTTTATTCTTTTTGTTGCTATTGTGAATGGGATTGCATTCTTGATTTGGGTGTCTGCTTGGAAGTTGTTGGTGTATGGAAATTTTGTTGATTTTTGTAGATTGATTTTGTATCCTGAAACTTTTCTAAAGTTGTGTATCAGATCTAGGACCTTTGGAGCAGAGTTTGGTAGCATTATTTTTTCTTAAATAAAATTTATATCAAGTCCTACATATGAAATATGTAAAAGAAGACTGAGTCTGAGTTTGGTAGCTCAAATCTCTAATCGCAGTATTTTGAGAGGCTGTGGTGGGAAAATTTTATGAAACCAGCCTGTGCAACACAGCTGACCCCATAATTTAAAAAAAAATGCTGGATGTGGTGTCATGCTCCTATAATCCCAGCTATTCAGGAGGCTGATGCAGAAGGATCTTTTGGGTCCAAGGACTGCAGTGAGCTGTGATTATGCCACTGCAATCCAGCCTGGGTGACTTAAAAAAATGGGAGAATGAGAAATGGGATCCCCAACTATTTGACCCTTTTGCCTTTACCTTAGAAGCCAGGAGCATCTCTGAGTAACTCTAGTGTTAATGCAATTCAGTTTATGAACCACTGGTCTAACTTGCACTCAAGATTATAAGCACACAGGACATCCAACCAGAGAAGCCAGACACCTTTAATGATTCTCATGACTTTTTTGCTCACACACATTCAAACTGACATTGCTGAGGACTCTTAGCCCTACTGCAAGTTTGTGTATTTCCTAAGTTTGGCAACTTATTCCTAAAATCAGCAGAAATGTGACGGGCCTAAGGCTATCTCTGAGACTCAACATTAAGTCAGTCTGTTAGCTAGTACTACTATGACCCTATGGCCTGGTTCTGGTGACTGTAACTGGGTTCTTGTTTTAATTCTTGTTCCTAAAACTTCATAAAATTCTACTGTTCTAGGAAGAGGTAACACCCTTGCTGTTTATTCATAGTTCAATACAGACATTCTTCTGATGCTGTGTTTCTGTTTAGACCTCCACAATATAATCTTGGAGTACAGACTGTACTTCACTCACTCATGTTTGGTTGCAGTGGCTGTGCTGATAACCTGTTTGCTTGATGGTCTTGCTACTCCACGTGGAAGGCTTAGCTCCTGGAACTCCTGGCTGTTTTCCTGCCCCTGGATACTGATGAGTAGCAGAATATGTCACTTCACATATGCCACTTTGGCTTAGGATTATTTTGAGCTAAAGTTACTTGAAAAACAGCAGATGTAGGAAGAGCATCCTAATCTCCTTTTTCTTCCTAAAAGCAGCAGAGAAAAGCTCCCATGTGAAAGATGTCCTCCCTAAATTAGGGAAAATAAAACATTTTTCAAAGAGGAGTCATAACTAACACAATTCTGTACAGACTTCATTAAAATAATTTCTTACCATCTTTTTATATTACAACATAATTTAGTTACTTTTCTATAATTGCCCCTTTTTGTTCAACCTGACATAAAAGTACTTAGGTTTTGCTAATTCTTTGGGTCTTCATTTTCCCATGAGGGCCCCAAGTCATGTTAAACATATGTGTATGCTTTTCCTTTGTTAATCTATTATACGTCTATTTAATCCCTAGGCTCGGCTAGAGACGCTAAGAGGATAGAGCTAAATTTTTGCCTCCCCTACGCTGCCTAGTCACTAGCTTCTGATACTTTCTGTTTTGGTCCATTCTACAAAAAAGAAATTCAGACTGTGTGTCAGGGTGGAAATACCAAAGAAATAGGGAATCCACGTGTAAAAGATGCTAATGCTGCCCATGCTAATTTGGTTAGGACTAACTCTACTTGCCTGGGTTTACTAGACTGAAAGTCAAGAACCTTTGAGTTGTCTTCCAATTATTCTATGTGGTAATATGTGATCTTGATAAAAATTGCTTTCGAAAATATCAGGATCCATATCTGTAAAATGGTCCTGCGGACTAAATGATCCCTAATATGCTTACAATGATCATTAACATATCTGATGTTTTAGGATTTCATTATTGTACCATAGAAAATGAGGACATTGTGTTTTAACCATTCATCCATTTGTACTACACATGCTTTTAAATGTTTCTCCTTTTATCTCCAGATTGCACTGCTGTATCCACTCACATCAGTGTGATTGATTTTCTAGTGACACAGAAGAATATGTACTTTACAACTCCATCCCTCACCTTGGAACTCAAAATTTACATGTTGAACAGTAAGTCCCCAAGGTCTTCATCATTCAAGCTTTCCTCCTCAACGATTCTATTTCTCCATAAGAGCAGCAAATTCAGGACAAACACAGTCCTCCTGGAGGCCAGTGCCATAATTAATAAGAATTAACACAACTTGGAGAGTAGGCTATTCACTTCCTCTGAAATGTGCGAACATAATTTAATCTTCTCAGTAATTTGTGAGATAGTGTATTATTTTCCTGCACTTTTCAGATGGAGTATCTAAGACACAGAGTTTCAATACGTAGGTGAAGTTCACATCACCAGTAGCAGACTGAACTGGGATCCAAAGCCAAGCAATGTCATCATCTGTCCTTCAATGCATGGTGCTCTGCCACCTCACTGAGAGACTGAGGATTCCTTTAAAATAAACTCTAATGGACACATCACATATACCATCATTCCTTCCCTTCTCTGCTGTTTCTCTCAGCTTCTCCCAGTCTTTCTGAAGCTTTCCCCCTACCATCAGTGAAATCTCTACCTTGTCAGGTTATTTGCTTGATTTCTGCAAAACTCCATTTTCTCAAAAAGAAACTCACTGGAGCAAAACTTAAATTCTAAATGTCACAGCTGTCAATTAGCAGTGTGACCTTTACTAAGTCATTCTCCTTCTATGGGTCTCAGTTTTGCTTTTTTACAGCCTCTAAGATTGGCTATAGCCCAGTGTGATTTTTTTATGATGTTTTGAACAAAGGCATTTGACTTTTATCATTTAACAGGAAAGGTTTGAATGTTATCAGTTTATGAAGTTATTTGTCTTAAGCATTTCATCATCTTCAAATAAATAGCTAAATATAGGCATGTAATGACAGGCTTTAACATGAAATGAGTTTCAAACATGTGAAGAAGCTTGATGATAGGTTGGTATACTTGAGAAATTCTTTAATAAATGTTTTTGAATTGGTAAAGGAACGAATGCATGAGTGTTGGTGGAATGTTGTGTTAATTAATGAAACAGCATTGTCAAGTTTAATAAAATCTCTGTTCCTTGCAAAGTCATTAATGTGCTATTCTAAATAAGATTAGGCCAAGGACTCTTGGCATTGCACCCTAAGTAGGCCAGATTTTAACAGAGGCTGTCCTTGCTACTGACCTCACCTTTTCCATCTACAGATCTAAAGCAGATGCTTTAAAAAAAAAATCAGGTTATTGGGAAAGATCTGGAGAAGCAGACTCCTTGTTGCTCCCTGGGTCACATAATCTACAAACTGTCCCTTTTGTCAATTGATTCAGGCAGAATGACTCTCCCAACATGCTTTCCCTTTGTGCCTGAAAGTACCTATGTTATAGAAATTATCCTCTTTAATTACAATTTTCTATTATTCTCTCTGAACAATGAGTACGTTGATGTTTGGGACTGTGTCTTTCTCCCTCGCTTCCCATTCCTTCTTCCCTGCCTGGTGTATATAAATAATGAGAGAACCATTGCTAAAATTGTATGACAAATGAGGTAATCAAGGTTGTAAACTAACTACAAATGCTCCTGATTCCATAATTAGGAGTCATGTGCTTTTGGAAGCAGTAAAAGTTCTGTGAGCACTGCATTTTCTGAAACATAGGCTGAGGTGCCACAAGGGAGGCATCTCACCCCTGTGTCTCTCTTCCAGATGTTCCTCTTCTGCTATCAGCTTCACTCCTGAGGGTATCCCTTCTCAAGCAGCTGTTTGCTGTCAGAAAGTGGCATACTTGCAGCATTAAGTGGGTCCTGGAACTGCCTAAAATGATCTTGGCCAGATCCCTTCACCACCTCATACACACTATTCGCAAACTGAATTTTCACTTCTTTTCCAGGGTCTTTTGCATACCTTATGTCCTCTGTTTCTTCTGCTACCATCTTAGCAGAATCCAAATAACTCTGAATCTCAGCCCTCCATTCTATCTGAAAGTGATTGCTTTCTTACCATGGATATTAGAATTTGCTTTATCCTGTGTGATAGTCAGGTATATAATTCATATTCTGACTGTAAGATATCTGCAAACTAATTGTGATAATTTGGACATGGATAAGAATTTGATTTTTCTGTATTATATAAAATAAAACTTGAAAGGCTTAAAGTAATTATACTGCAAGAAAATGCGAAGAGAACTTAAGACAGAAAAAGATATCTGAAGGTGTTCAGATTTCTCCAGCCTCATCTTTTCCTGAAAAATCATCCTAAAACTCCATCACTATCATCCTAAAACTCCATCACTATCACAACACTTCCTGTCTATAGCCTCCAGGGGTTTGTAACCTTGCTGCCGACAGTCTTACCCATCCACCAATGATATCAACAGCAGCTGAGAACTTATTAAAAATGCAGACATTTGGGTCACTCCAAACCAAGTGAAAAAGTGTCTTCATTTTAACAAGACCCTTGGTGATTTATATACATATTACAGGTCGAGAAGCACAGCTCTGGACCTCCAGTGGTCTATGTAGGGCTGGGCAACATTTTGGGGACAGAAATTTTGAGTATATATTAAAATACATATATACACCAACTTTGTTTCTTGTGTTTTAACATTTTATAAAAATATTTGCTGGATATCCTGAGAATATATGTTTCTTCCAGCCAAGAGACAGAATGGTGGAGTGATTAAACCACCACGAATGGATTTAAATCCAAACTCTGTGAATCATGACATAAACCTAGGCAGCTTATCTGTGCCTCAATGTACTCATCTATAAAATAGGTATAATAGAACCCAATTCATAGGGTAATTAGGCAGATGCAGTTTGTTAAAATGTATAAATTACTTAAATCCAGCATATCATTAGCACAATATGTGTTTGTAAAAATAATTAAGCACAATAATAGAAATGAAAGAATTAGCAATGTGGTTTATCCACATTGATATTGATATTTGAATATATTTTAGAGATACAAGTGAATAAAAAATAAAATTCAGAATAGAGGTCCTCAGTTATGATCTCATTTCATCTAAACAGTAAAACTGTGGAAACAATTTATTGTTATCCACATTTTGAAGATGTGAAAACCGAGGCTGAGCAGGATGATATAACTAACCCATCTAAAGTCATCAATGAGTTAACAAAGGCTGAGACTAAAGTACATTGCTTTCATTTGGTTCAACATTTGCAAAATATTGTTTATCTGCCAAGCTCTTAATAGGCCCCAGAATTACAGAGAAGGTGATCTAAATTTAAAGAAAGGAAAATATGTTTGGGAGATATCATTTAGGAAAAGAATACCACATTGAAAAACAATCTGAGTGAAAAATAACAAATGTATTTTCATGTTATAGCTAAGGAAATATGTGGATGCATCAAAAACACCAGGAAATCTATTTCCTAAGAGTGATGCTAGTAGTTTTATTTTTTTTTTAATTTTTGAGGGGCCCTCATACAGTCTTCCATAATAGCTGCATCATTCTTCATTGTTACCAGCAGCGTACAAGAGTTCTAATTTCTTCACATACTTGCCAACACTTTTTTCTTCATAGGTAGGTGTGGGTGTGGATAATATCTATCCTAACAGGTAAGACATGAGGTGATAATTCTGTGGCTTTAATGTGCATTTCCCTGATGATTAACACTTTTTCCTAAACCTAAATCAAGTGGCCATTTGTCTTTCTTCTTTCCAGAAATGCTTATTGAAGTCTTTTGTCCTTTCTAAAAATTGGGTTACTTGTATTTTGTTTCGTTTTGCTATGGAGAAGTAGGTGATTTTTTTTTGTATTTTGGATATTAACTCCTTATCAGATGAATGGTTTGAAAATATTTTCTCCTGTTTCATAGGTTGTCTTTTTTATTCCATTGATTGTTTCTTTTGCTGTGCACAAGATCTTTAGTTTGATGTAGTCTTTCTTATAATTTTTTGCTTTTTTTCCCCTGTGTTTTTAATGTCATATCCAAAAATCATTACCAAGGCCAATGTCAAGAAGCTTTTTCCCCTGAGATTCTTTTTTTTCCCCCGAGTTTCTTTTTTTTTCCCCCTAGGAGTTTTGTGGTTTTATAGTTTTAGGTCTTATGTTTATGTCATTATTTTGAGTTTATTTTTGTGTGTGGTGTAAGATAACTGTCTAATTTTATTCTTTTGCATGTGGATGTTTCATTTTTTCAATACCAGTTGTTGAAGAAAATATTTTTTCTCAATTGTGTGTTCTTGGAATGCTTCTCAAAGATCAACTGACAATGTATGTGAGAGTTTATTTCTGGATCTGTATGCTGTCTCATAGGTCTATATGTCTGTCTTAATGTCAGTACCATGCTGTTTTAATTATCATAGCTTTGTAATATTTTGAAAGCAGGAAGTGTAATGCCTCCAACTTTCTTCTTAAGATCATGTTGGTATATGGGGTTTTTTTGTTGTTGTTCCATTTAAACTTTAGGATTCTTTTTTTATTTCTGTGAAAAATGTTATTGGAATGTTGATAGGCATTTCACTGAATGTATAGATTGCTTTGGGTAATGAGGACATTTTAACAATATTAAATCTTTAAATTTTTTCATCCATGTTTTATAATTTTCAGTGAAAACTATAGTTTTCACATCTTTACTTAAGCTTATTCTTAAGGTTTAGTTTTTCTTTTCTTCCTTTCATAAGCAATCTCACTTCTGGGTATATATTCAAAAGATCTGAAATCAGGATCCTGAAGAAATATCGGTACTTCCATGAACACTACAGCATTATTTGCAATATCCAAGATATAGAAACAACTAAATACCCACAAGCAGATGAATGGATTTAAAAATACGGTATATGCATAAAATGGCACAGTGTTTAGCCTTAATAAAGGAAACACTACCATTTGTGACAACATGAATGAACATAGAGAATATTATGCTAAATGAAATAAGTGAGTCGCAGGACAAACATTGCATGATTCCACTTACATAATGTATCTAAAATAGTCAAACTCATAGAAGCAGGGAAATGCCTATTAGCTGCCAGAGCCTGGGGTAAGAAGGACATGGGGAATTTTTCCTCATTGGATGTAAAGTTTCAGTTATGCAAGATGAATAATTCTAAGATTTTTCTGTACAACATGGTGCCTATAGTTAACAATATGGTGTTGTACATTTTAACGTATGTTAAAAGAATACATCTCATTTGAAATGTTCTTACTACAGAAAGAACAAGAAAGAACACAAGGAAATTTTTGGAGCTGACAGATATGATTAGTATGATTGTGGTGGTGGTATCGTGGGTCTATACAGGTGTTCAAACTTATCAAAATGTATATATTAAATATGTGCAATTTTGTGTATATCAACTATATTTCAATAGAGCTAAACAAAAAAGAATAATGCCTGGACTGAGAAAAGTTGGGGGTAAGAAATAATTCTTCTTGTCATTGATATTGGTGTTCTTTTTGTTTTCTTTTTGTTTGTCTATTGTTTCTTAAAAGTTTTATTGAGATATAATCCACATGCCATAAAGTTCACCTTACGAAATAAAACCTTTGATATTTTTTGTGTATTCAGAGTTGTGCAATCATCACTCTGTAAGTTCAGAAATTTTCATAGCCTCCTAAAAAAAATCCCTAATATCCATTAACAGGCATTTCTGACCCTCTTTCCAGCTCACAGGAAATGCTAATCTACTTGCTGTTTCTATGAATTTGCCTATTATGGACATTCCATGTA
Organism: Homo sapiens; assembly: GCF_000001405.40. NCBI lineage: Eukaryota > Metazoa > Chordata > Mammalia > Primates > Hominidae > Homo > Homo sapiens. Next base: position 83,251,509 of record NC_000002.12, on the reverse strand, counting down.
AATGAAATCATATGATATGTGGCCTTTAAGTGTCTGGCTTCCTTCACATAGCATGGTATTTTTAAGGTTCGCCCATGTCTTAGCATGGCATTCTTAGCACTTTTTTTATAGCTGAATAATATTTCATTCCATGGATATACCGCATTTTGCTTATCTGTTTATCAGTTCATAGGCATTTGGATTATTCTCACTTTTTGGCTATTATAAAAATGCTGTTATAAATTTTCATGTATAAGTGTTTTGTAGACATATGTTTTCAATTATTTTGGGCATATACCTAGTGATGAAATTTCTGGACTACATGGTAACTCTTTAAACACTTTCTGAGAAACTGCCACACTGTTTCCCATAGAGGCTGCCCCACTTTACATTCTCCATCCACAGCAATGTGTAATTGTTCCAGTTTCTTAACATTCTCACCAACACTTGTTATTTTCCTTTTTTTTCAAATTATAGCCATCCTAGTGAGTGTGAGCTGGTTGTTTTTGATTTGTGGTTTTGATTTACATTTTTGCAAATGCAGTGATGATAATGAATAATGATGTTTTGCAACTTCCATGTTCTTATTTGACATGGTATAACTTCTTTGGAGAAACATCTTTTTAAATTCCTTACTTGTTTTTTAATTGGAATATTGTCATTTTATTGTTGATTTTAAGAGTTATTATTTTAGTAGCTATTAACTTGATTAAATTTAACATTAATACAAAGCTTTGACCTAATTTAACATCTATATTCCAATTTTGTCAATTGACCAATTATGTCCTTTATAGTAATTTTTTATTCTTTAGCACAGGAGTCAGTCTAGGGCTAGGTATCGCATTTAGGTACCATGTCATTTTATTCTCCTTTAGTCTGTAACATTTACACAATTCTTCGTTTAGAACATTGAGATTTTTGAAGAACATAGTCTCCATTCCTTTTGTTTTAATAGAGTGTTCCTCATTTGGAGTTTGTCTGCTATTTCCTCATTTTGAGATACAAGTCCTTTTCCAGATATATGATTTACAAATGTTTTCTCCTATTTTGTGGGCTTTCTTTTCACATTGTTCAGGATGTCCTTTGAAGCACAGAAGTTTTTAGTTTTAATAAAATCCAGTTTGCCTATTTATCTTTTGTCACTCATATGTTCGATATCATATCTGAGCAAGTATTGACTAATCCAAGGTCATGAAGATTTACTCATGTGTATTGTTCTAAGTATTTTATAATTTTATATCTATGTTTATGTCTTTGATTCATTTTGAGTTAATTATTTGTATATGATTTGAGGTAGGGATTCCACTTTATTATATTTGGTGTGGGAATTCAGTTGTCCCAGAATCATTTGAAAAGGGCCCATTGAATTGTTTTTGCACAGGTGCAAAAACAATTTAACCTTAAATGTAAGGATTAATTTTTGAATTATCAGTTCTTTCCCACTGATTTTGTATCTATCTTTATGCAGTAGTACACTGATTTGATTGTTATATCTTTGTAGTGAGTTTTGAAATCAAGAAGTGTAAGTTATCCCAATTAGCTTTTTATCAAGATCATTTTATATATTCTGGGTTCCTTGCATTTTTTGAAACTGCGTTTGCAAAAATTATAACTGAGGAAATTAAGACAGTGAAAGAGATTAGACCTAATCAACTCCATCTTGCTTCTAACCTTTAAGCTCTCCTTGTTCATTCCTAGGCGTAGGCCAAACTAACTTTGGGAAGGAATTCAGTTCATGGTTTGACTCGAAAAAGAACTGATAATAGCCCTTTCCCTAACACACCCCCTTCTTGCCCAGTCTGCCTTTGCAGGACTAATAAATTAGCTACAAGATTAGAAATACAATTTAGGGGTCATGCAGCCTCTGGTTCCAAGAGTCTGAACCTCCCCAAATTGCTCCTGAGGATAACATCACTGTTGTAAAACCTAAGATCAGTACTTGATATATTTTGCAGACCCTGCTCTGGATGGGTCAGCTGACACCACCTAGACCAGTAATCTGGCTCAACCATTTCTGTCATGCCACCCAGGAACAGAAGACATCAAGAAAACCTCACTTTGACCCCTTATGATTCCATCTGCAACCTGACCAATCAGCATTCCCTACTTCCCAATACCCTACCCACCATATTATCATTTTTTCTTTTTTTTTTTTTTTTTGAGACTGAGTTTCACTCTTGTTGGCCAGGCTGGAGTGCAATGGTGCAATGTCAGCTTACTTCAACTTCCGCCTCCTGGATTCAAGCGATTCTCCTGCCTCAGCCTCCTGAGTAGGTGAGATTACAGGTGCTCACCACCACGCCTGGCTACTTTTTTGTGTTTTTAGTAGAGAGGGGGTTTCACCATGTTGGCCAGGCTGTTCTTGAACTCCTGACCTTAGGTGATCCACCTGCCTCAGCCTCCCAAAGTGCTGGGATTACAGGCATGAGCCACTATGCCCGGCCCAGATTATTTTTAATATCTCTGATCCCCGAATGCTTCAGGAAACTGATTTGAGTAATAATAAAACTCCGGTCTCTTGCACAGCCTCCTCTGTGTGAATTACCCTTTCTGCATTGCAATTCCCTTGTCTTGATAAATATGCTCTGTCTAGGAAGTGGGCAAGGTGAACCCATTGGGCAGTTACATTTTCATATAAAATTTAGAAACAGGCCGGGTCTGGACATTAGGGCACGGTATATGATAATTTTTATAAGTTGCTAGATTCAATTTTCTTGATTTTGTTGTGATTTTGCATTTATGTTCTTAAGGGATTTGCCTCATTGAGAAAATGGCCATATTTTTCTCTCTTGGTATGCCTTGCAATTTTTTGTTGAAAATTGGACTCTTGAGGCCAGGCACAGTGGCTCAAGCCTGTAATCCTAACACTTTGAGAGGCCGAGGCGGGTGGATCCCAAGGTCAGGAGTTTGAGACCAGCCTGAACGACATAATGAAACCCCATCTCTAATAAAAATGCAAAAAATTAGCAAGGCGTGGTGTTGTGTGCCTGTAAACCCAGCTACTCGGGAGGCTGAGACAGGAGAATTGATTGAACCCGGGAGGTGGAGGTTGCACTGAGCCAAGACTGCACCACTGCACTCCAGCTTGGGCAACAGAGCAAGATTCTGTCTCAAAAAAAAAAAAAAAGAAAGAAAAGAAAAGAAAAGAAAATGGGACACTGGAATGTGGTAACTCTTCAAATAATATTCTCAATCTTAAGATTTTTCTCTGTCTTTTAAATTGTTAATAGTTGTTTAGTGACCTTTCCTGATTATTTTTACAAATACTGTTTTTTTGTGTGTGCGTTATATGTCCAGCTGGTGTTTTGACACAAAGTAACCGGAATGCCAGGACCTAAAACAAAGAAACAGAAAACCAATATTTTCTATCCTTAGATTTCCACAGTTTGATTATGATGTGTCTCAGTGTGAGTCTCTTTGAATTACCCTATTTGGATTTTATTTAGCTTCTTAGATGTGTAGGTTTGTCTTTCATCACGTTTGGGAAGTTTTCAGACTTTTTTTTTCAAATATTCTTTCTTTATCCCCTTATCTCGCTCTCTTTTCTCTCCTTCTGACACAATTATTTTGCATATGCAGGTATGCTTTATAGTGTCTGACAGTCTCTGAAGCTATGTTAATTTTTTTTCACTTTTTGATTTCTGTTCCTCAGACTGAAATTCAAGGTATTTTTTAAAAAACAAATCTGTCTTCTTCAATTTTAAATGTGCCGATGAGGGCTTCTTTAGAGTTTTTGTTGTTGTTTCATTTTGTTTTATATTTCAGTTGTCATAATTTTTAGCTCCAAAATTTTACTTGGTTCTCTTTTTATAATTTCTGTCTCTTTATCAGTATTCTTCATGTGATGAGTTATTCTCACGCTATTCTATAATTCTGTTGACACTGTTTCCTTTAGTTCTTTGAACATATTTATAATAATGGCACTAAAATCTTTGTCTCATAAGTCCAATGTCTAGTTCTCCTCAAAGATGGTTGTTAGTGACAGCTTTCCTGCATCTCTGTATCCCCTGTATAGGCCATATTGCTCTGTTTCTTCATAGTTCTCATACATTTTTGTTTAAAGTAGCCATTTTAAATAACATATGCCAATCCTCGTAATCAGCTCCCCAAGTTTTGTTGCTTTTGCCATTTTGTTTCTTCTTGCTTTTTGTTCGTTTAGTGACTTTAGTAGATGAATAAGTAAAGTTTAATGAGTTCTTTTATGCAACCACTAAAATCTCCACTTGGGTAACTTTTTGGTCATTTCATGATTTCACAGCTATTCCTCAAATTTCCCAGTCTGTGTGTGTACTATGGTACCTCTTTAATTCTTCAACAGGCAACTAACATCTCTTAGTCTTCACTTTCTGCTTGTGCAGAGACTTAATGTCAGTTGGAGGTGACAGACTAGGAACGTCTTCAGTTTTTCATGGAAATGCACACAGCCCTAGACATGAGTGTGGTCATATAGATTCTCAATAATATGTCGGTGTTTTTCAAAACCCTTTATGGACATCTTATTCCGCAGATTTTCTTTTAACATTGTAGACTTTCATAGACTCAATTGGTATTATCATTTCAGGCAGCTGTAATTTTTTTTTTTTTTGAGATGGAGTCTCACTCTGTTGCCCAGGCTGGAGTGCAGTGGCACAATATCGGCTAACTGCAACCTCTGCCTCCTGGGTTCAAGTGATTCTCCTGCCTCAGCCTCCCGAGTAGCTGGGATTACAGGCATGTACCACCACTCCCAGCTTAATTTTTGTATTTTTAGTAGAGACAGGGTTTCACCATGTTGACCAGACTGGTCTCAAACTCCTGACCTCGTGATCTGCCTGCCTCGGCCTCCCAAAGTGCTGGGATTATAGGTGTGAGCCGCCGCACCCGGCCTGGCAGCTGTAAATCTTAAACTATTGCTGCGGTTGTTTTTTGACAAATGCACACAGGATAAAGCTATTTGCAGAGAGTTCATTCTGGATCAGCACAAGTAATGCCAAGCTCTGGGAACTGAGCTTTTCAGTTAGCTGTCAGTCATATCAAAGGGTGAAACGTTTCTGGTGATAGCGAGAGGTGACAGCGTGCTGGCAGTCCTCACAGTCCTTGCTCGCTCTCGGCACCTCCTCTGCCTGTGCTCCCACTTTGGTGGCACTTGAGGAGCCCTTCAGCCTGCCGCTGCACTGTGGGAGCCCCTTTCTGGGCTGGCCAAGGCTGAAGCCAGCTCCCTCAGCTTGCGGGGAGGTGTGGAGGGAGAGGGGCAGGCAGGAACCGGGGCTGCGCATGGTGCTTGTGGGCCAGCGTGAGTTCCGGGTGGGCGTGGGCTTGGCGGACCCCCCGCTGGGAGCGGCCGGCCGGCCCCACTGGCCTTGGGCAGTGAGGGGCTTAGCACCTGGGCCAGCAGCTGCTGTGCTCAATTTCTCGCCGGGCCTTAGCTGCCTTCCCGCGGGGCAGGGCTCGGGACCTGCAGCCGGCCATGCCTGAGCCTCCCCCTCCCTCCCCCGTCAGCTCCTGTGAGCCCGAGCCTCCCCCAGGAGCCCTGCCTCTTGTTCCATGGTGCCCAGTCCCATCGACCACCCAAGGGGTGAGGAGTGTGGGCGCATGGTGCGGGACTGGCAGGCAGCTCCACCTGCAGCCCCCATGCGGGATCCACTGGGTGAAGCCAGCTGGGCTCCTGAGTCTGGTGGGGAAGTGGAGAACCTTTATGTCTAGCTAAGGGATTGTAAATACACCAATCGGCACTCTGTATCTAGTTCAAGGTTTGTAAACACCAATCAGCACCCTGTGTCTAGCTCAGGGTTTGTGAATGCACCAGTCAACACTCTGTATCTAGCTACTCTGGTGGGGACTTGGAGAAACTTTGTGTGGAGACTCCGCTAATCTGGTGGGGACATGGAGAACCTTTGTGTCTAGCTCAGGGATTGTAAACGCACCAATCAGCGCCCTGTCAAAACAGACCACTCAGCTCTACCAATCAGCAGGATGTGGGTGGGGCCAGATAAGAGAATAAAAGCAGACTGCCCCAGCCAACAGTGGCAATCCGCTGGGATCCCCTTCCACACTGTGGAAGGTTTGTTCTTTCACTCTTTGCAATAAATCCTGCCGCTGTTCACTCTTTGGGTCCAGACTGCCTTTATGAGCCGTAACACCACGAAAGTCTGCAGTTTCACTCCTGAGCTGGCGAGACCACGAACCCACCAGAAGGAAGAAATTCTGAACACATCCTAACATCAGGAGGAACAAACTCCAAACGCACCACCTTAAGAGCTGTAACACTCACCGTGACGTGGCTTCATTCTTGAAGTCAGTGAGACCAAGAACCCACCAATTCCGGACACAATAGGACTTTTGGGGATAACCAAACCCACCCTGCCGGCTCCAGTGATCCCAGGCTGCTTGTTTTCATAGATATTGTAGTTGTGAGTTTGTTGGTTTTCAAGGCTACTGAAAAATTGGGAGGAAGGTGATAGGGTTAGGGTAGATTAAAATGTTACAAAGCAAGCTGCTCTTACATAGGTCTAGTCATTTTTAAAAATTAATACTCCTCAGATAATTGCAAGTATTTAATAAATTTATTATAGAGTTTTTTTTTTTTTTTGAGACGGAGTCTCGCTCTGTCGCCCAGGCTGGAGCGTTTGCCACTATTTTCTTTGTCCTTATGCCAAGTGGATTTTTAGAGCACTTTACTCTGCCATTGCAAAAGTGCCCTCTGTTGTTAATGTTCTTTTAGCTCATTCTTATCTTACAAATTTTTCACATTAAGGAAGTATTACTTGTGGTTGGGCGTGGTGGCTAATGCTTGTAATACCAGCACTTTGTGAGGCTGAGGTGGGTGGATCACCTGAGGTCAGGAGTTCAAGACCAGCCAGGCTAACATGGTGAGATCCTGTCTCTGCTAAAAATGCAAAAAATTAGCTAGGCATGGTGGCATACACCTGTAGTCCCAGCTAATTGGGGGGCTGAGGCAGGAGAATGGCTTGAACCTGGGAGGTGGAGGTTGCAGTGATCCAAAATTGCACCACTGCATTCCAGCCAGCCTGGGCAACAGAGTGAAACTCTGTCTCAAAAAAAAAAAAAAAAGAAGGAAGTATTACTTGTTTGATGAAAATTATATATTAGCATCCATATCTTTAAGTACTTAAATTCTTTTTTTATTTTTTATTTTGTTGATAGCCCATTAGTTAACATTTAAAAAAAAATTTTTTTTTATTATATTTTAAGTTCTAGGGTACATGTGCACAACAGGCAGGTTTGCTACATATGTATACATGTGCCATGTTGGTGTGCTGCACCCATTAACTCATCATTCACGTTAGGTATATCTCCTAATGCTATCCCTCCCCCACTCCACCCACCCCACAACAGGCCCCGGTGTGTGATGTTCCCCTTCCTGTGTCCAAGTGTTCTCATTGTTCAATTCCCACCTATGAGTGAGAACATGTGGTGTTTGGTTTTTAGTCCTTGTGAAAGTTTGCCGAGAATGATGGTTTCCAGCTTCATCCGTGTCCCTACAAAAGACATGAACTCATCATTTTTTATGGCTGCATAGTATTCCATGGTGTATATGTGCCACATTTTCTTAATCCAGTCTATTATTGATGGACATTCGGGTTGGTTCCAAGTCTTTGCTATTGTGAATAGTGCTGCAGTAAACATACGTGTGCAAAGGAAACTACCATCAGAGTGAACAGGCAACCTACAGAATGGGAGAAAATTTTTGCAATCTACTCATCTGACAAAGGAATAATATCCAGAATCTACAAAGAATTCAAACAAATTTATAAGAAAAAAAAAAACACCATCAAAAAGTGGGTGAAGGATATCAACAGACAATTCTCAAAAGAAGACATTTATGCAGCCAACAGACACATGAAAAAATGCTCATCATCACTGGCCATCAGAGAAATGCAAATCAAAACCACAATGAGATACTATCTCACACCAGCTAGAATGGTGATCATTAAAAAGTCAGGAAACAACAGGTGCTGGAGAGGATGTGGAGAAATAGGAACACTTTTACACTGTTGGTGGGACTGTAAACTAGTTCAACCATTGTGGAAGACAGTGTGGCAATTCCTCAGGGATCTAGAACTAGGAATACCATTTGACCCAGCCATCCCATTACTGGGTATATACCCAAAGGATTATAAATCATTCTGCTAAATTCTCTTTATATCTATATTTATAGGTCTATGTATATCTATATATTTAAAGGACCAGAGCGTAGACTTAGGTGTCAGAATTAATCATTATGATTGATCTAAACATTTTATTTACCAGTTCTATGACACTGCTAGATGGTTGGGCAAGGTTATTTAATCTTTTTATGTCTCAGTTTCCTAATTTTAAGTAAGTATTTTAATATTGCCATGTAAAGTAAGTGGTAAGATGTATAAAATGTACTGATTATCATGCCTGGGCAGTAATTTAATAAATATATGTTATTATTAACTGTCTTAAGTGTACCATGCTATATTTAGAATCCATTTGACATGGATTCAAAATTATTACTTAAAGTACATGCTGAAGTCTTGCTTCCTCAGGTCTTGTTTTTTGTAGTGACAACAATGGATGCCTAGCTATAGCACAGCCTGTGAGAAGTAGATTCAGGCTCAGATTGGCTTCTGGATCACTGAAACACAAGGAGATATAGCGGGTGAACAGAAAGGTGATCACTGTTGAGCAGACTCAAACGTCCAAAAGCAAGATATCAAATTATAAAGTATAAGAGAAGGATTAGCACAATGACCTGAATACGTGGTCAGTAGCAGAAATGTCTGTCATGTGTGCAAGAATTTGTGGAGGTTCTTTCAGAAACTAAGACCATTGGTGCATATACACAGGAAAGTCTCTTTTCTCACGGTATTCAATGCATGCTATGGTGCTGAATTCAGTACCTAAAAGGAGTCTTATAGGCCCAGAGGTTATATTCACATAGGTTTAACATAATTTAGGCAACCAAAATTAGTAACAACAAACAAAGAGTACACATTATTTACTTATTTATTTTTTTGAGATGGAGTTTCACTCTTGTCGCCCAGGCTGGAGTCCAGTAGCACGATCTTGGCTCACTGCAATCTCTCTGACTCCTGGCTTCAAGTGATTCTCCTGCCTCAGCCTCCTGAGTAGCTGGGATTACAGGTGCGCACCACTATGCCCAGATAATGTTTGTATTTTTAGTAGAGACAGTGTTTCACCAAGTTGGCCAAGCTAGTCTTGAATTCCTGACCTCGTGATCCGCCTGCCTTGGCCTCCCAAAGTGTTGGGATTACAGGCGTGAGCCACTGCATCCAACCAAGAGTATACTTTAAACGGATATAATGTTTGTCAATTATGCCCTGATAAAACTGGAAAAGCCGTAACACAAGACCTTAAACACTGTACATTCTGTGGGATGAGTGAACATGGTAGTAAATGATGCACAAAAAAAGCAAATCTAAAATTTGAATTCCTCCCTTTGACTGCTTGACCTTTGCCTTATAATCAGAACCCAATGAGGTATAACAGGAAACAGTGAAACATAAGAAAGTGGCTTAAGGAAGAGGACAGAGAGATGGCTTAAAGAAGAAATAACACATGTAAAGTAAAGCTGAATTTCTTCTGAAAAAGATTACTGTAAAACATAATTTTTTCTCAATCAAATCAATCTAATCAAAACATCAGAGATAAACCTAAAAAATGCCTGTGAAAAAAATTCTTTGTAAAAATTTTAGTTTTGCTTTTTTCGTTTAATGTGAAAAGCACATGCTAACTAGAATAAATCTAGTATTATCCATATCTTAAACTTTAAAACCAAAAAGCCTTCTTCCTGTAGTGCTTCTTTTATTTTTCTTTAAAGCCACTTAATCTGTATGTTTCTTACTCATTTTCATCTAATCATGGAAGCAATATTTACTAAGGTTTATTTGAGTCCTTTTTAAAAATGTAATTATCTGGAAAATAATTTGTATTTGCTATTTAAGAAGGTTCGATTATATTTAATATAAAGCAATAACATGTTAATAATTAGCCTGGTTTAATTCTACTTCATGATTTAGAATAAATAATAAATTAGAAAAAATAGACAAAATGGAAATTCATATACTATTAGAACTAGTAGATGTGAAATGTCAAGTTTAGGGAAATAAATGACCTTAAAGCTGTGTATGATTACATTATTTGCACAGAGGTAAATACTCCTTAGAATTTTCTCATATATTCTAAACTGCTTAGAATTTTCAAACTTTGGCAATATTGCTATTAAAATGTGTACATCTAGAATGAAAGGTAGATGCCTCCGAGGTTATAAAAGCAGTTGGTGGCAAGGCCAAGATGCAGAGAGGATTCTTCTGACTCTGACCAGGGCTCATTCACACTAATTTTTTCCTGCTGCCCAAGGGCAGTCATCTACTCTTTCTCTCTCTAGAAAAGTCTACACTGCTACACAAACTTACTGAATTTTGTCCTATAGCATCTTACATTCTTCAGTATTTTGCTATCAAAGGGAAAGAAAAATACAGTATTTTATTCTAAAATGAAAATAGGTGGTAGCTTAGTTAGTGTGTTAACTTCCCAAGAGGATTTTCAAATAGAACACTTGTTTTCCCTGGAGGGATAATCTCTAACTCCCCAAATATGGGCTCTTAAAGCAACTCGTTTGGAAAAAAATACTAAGCAGAGATTCATTCTTAGTGCCAACAAAATAACAAGCAACCCACTGTCCAGCTTGTTTGGTCTGAAACATCACATTTGTTCATGAATAATGCAGTGCAATAACTAATATGCAGTCTACAGCTTTCAGAGCTTCCACATGAATTATACCATTTAATCTTATGCCATAGGACGTCACACATTCCAGCTTAATAAAGTGGCAGAGACAAGAGCTATGAGAGAAATCAGGTGGAGTCAGTGGCTGTGATCTAGACTAGTCTCAAAATAAGGAAAGCAGATTGTCATTACTGCTCAAGTTTTACTTACCATAATAAGGTGACACATACCTACTGATTTTGCATAGAACCTGGTGAGAAACCCATCACATTGTTAGTGATGTCCCATGGGTGTATGTGACTGTCTAAAGGCCTTGGTTAACAATTGTTATCCTCTGTCGTACACTTCAAAATCAAAAGTTTTTACTGATGACTTTGACATATACAACTCAGCAATACAAAACACTCAGTTCTGATATATCTTTGCATAAAACTACACTTCAACTCATTAAAAATTACCTACACACTTACAAAAATATAAAATGTTCTTCTTGATTTCATCCTGTTTTTCTTTTGCATACAAACTGTAATAATGATTCTGATTGAGCCTTTTTTCCACAGCCTTCCAACCCATCAGACTAGAGCCATTTAACAAACTACCTACACCAATAGTCACTATTCCTCTTCTTTTCCAAATTTTTATTACTTTTCTAGTGCTGATTTTAAAAAATTATTTGTGAACAATAAACATAAAGAATAGCATAAACAGCAGCAAAATGCAAGTGTATGGGTTTACATTTTAGTTCTTTTTTCAAATTTTTCCTGGCTTGAGCTCCTGTCTTGCTATCTTGATACTGTCTTTGTTAAACAAAGAATGGACTATTTTCGATGGGTCCCACAACCTACAACTCGTTTTCTCCAAACTTGAGGTCAGAACATCTTTCTTTCTTTCTTTCTTTGAGACGGAGTCTCGCTCTGTCACCCAGGCTGGAGTGCAGTGGCGGGATCTTGGCTCACTGCAACCTCCGTCTCCCGGGTTCACGCCATTCTCCTGTCTCAGCCTCCTGAGTAGCTGGGACTACAGGCGCCCACCACCGCGCCAGGCTAATTTTTTGTATTTTTAGTAGAGACGGGGTTTCACCGTGTTAGCCAGGATGGTCTCGATCTCCTGACCTCGTGATCCACCTGCCTCAGCCTCCCAAAATGCTGGGATTACAGGCGTGAGCCACCGCGCCCGGCCAGAACATCATTCTTACTTTTAAGTTCTTTGCCTACTCTTTGATACCAGATGGCAAACATATTGTGAACTCTATCTCATTAAAAAGGAAAGACGCTATAGTCATTGTTCTACTAGCAAATCCTAGACCTGAAAAATAGGAGTTACACGATAGATATTTTTGAATTTTGAATGTATAAAAAAGTAAATTAATAAAGGATGTCTTTGATGATTTAACCTGCAGTTAACATAAGGGATTTTCCAGCTATATCTTTATGTATTATGTAGGTATGTTTTGGATCCACTGACTCATCAGAGATATTTTGTGTAGCCTTGTCATCCCAATATTTCCTTGTCTTTTTGTGTCCTCAACAAATGTAGTCAGTTTCTGAGATGAAATATGGGATTAAGAAAACTGCCTTTCTTTGTAGGCTAAATTTATTCATTATTATTTGGCAGAAATTTTTAAGATGAAAAGTAAATGTAAGATATATAAGTCTAAATTGCATCTTAGAAAACTGAGTAACCTTCAGCAAAGTGGTGAGCCAGGTGACCATATTAGATTGGATTTTCCTTTTATCTAAAATATTTATTGGAAGTTACTTCTGATAATGACTATGCATGAAGTATGCTACCTAGAATTTTGACGTAGAATAAGTCAATCATAATTATTTTAAATTATAAGAATACCAAGTGATAGCTGTGAATATATGTATAATGAATTTGAAATGATTGATTTAAGCTGGTCTTTATGAAGGATAATATACTCCTACGATAAGAAATTTAGAGAGAAATTCCGGACCATAAATAAGGATCAGAATTATGTACCTTTTCTTATCTGTGGTTTCACTTTCTGTGGTTTCAGTTACTCATGAGCAACTGTGGTCCAAAAATATTAAATAGAAAATTCCAGAAATAAACAATCCATAAGGTTTTTTTGTTTTGCTTTGTTTTGTTTTGTTTTGTTTAGACAGAGTTTCACTCTTGTTGCCCAGGCTGGAGTGCAGTGGTGCAGTCTTGGCATACTGTAACCTCTGCCTCCTGGGTTCAAGCGATTCTCCTGCCTCAGCCTCCTGAGCAGCTGGGATTACAGGTGCCTGCTACCATACCCGACTAATTTTTGTATTTTTGGTAGAGAAGGGATTTCACCATTTTGGCCAGGCTGGTCTCAAACTCCTGACCTCAGGTGATCCGCCTGCCTTGGTCTCCCAAAGTGCTGGGATTACAGGCATGAGCCACCATGCCCGTCCCAATCCATAGGTTTTAAATTGTGCACTCTTCTGAGTAATGTGATGAAATCTTGCCCCATCCTGTTCCATTCATCCCTTTGTTTAGCATAACCATGCTGTATATGATACATAGTAGCTGTCTTGCTGATGACATCAACTGTTTGGTATCACAGTGCTTGTGTTCCATATTTTACTCAATTATTATCTTAAAGCACAAGAGTAGTGATGCTGGGATGTTGTTATAATTGTTTCATTTTATTATTATTGTTGTTAATCTCTTACTCTGCCTAATTTTAAGCTTTATCATAGGCATGTGTATAGGAGAAAACATAGTACATATAGGGTTCACTATCTTCTGTGGCTTTGTGCATCCACTGAGAGTCTTGGAATGTATGACCCTTGGATAAGGGGGGACTAATGTATATGTAAGTTTTTTGAGACACACACATGCCCATTATGCATTCACCATCAACCTAATTGGACTGGGCTAGATGTTCATTCTCTTCAAAAGTGTCCAGGTAAATCTGATACATGTCTGCAAATAAGCATGACAGTTACTCAATTTCTACTCTAATAATGGCAAGTGAAAAGTTGGGTTTGTCTGAGCAAATAATGGCAAATGCTGAAATAAGCATCCCCTAATGTCAATGGCTTAACCAATAATGGTATTTCTTAGTCAAGTCATAATCTGTATGGGTCATTCAGGAAGCAGTATCCATTCATCTCCAGCTTCTAAATACTGTATGTCCAGGTTTAAGAGAAAAGAGAGATCAGGCATCAGCAAGATGGAAGAATAGGACATTCCACTGCTAGTACCCCCACAGAAACATCAATTTGAACAACTATACATACATGAAAATACCTTCACAAGACCTATCAAAAGTAGGTGAGAAATTATAGCACCTGGATGTAGCACAGAAATAAGAAAGGACCCACTGAAGAGGGCAGAAAGGACAGGTTTGTTATATAGATATACTCATGTCATGCATGTTTGTTGTACAGATTATTTCATCACCCAGATATTAGGCCTAGTGCCTATTAGTTATAAGCACTAGTTACTTAGACAGAAAGGAGGAAATAAATGTCAAATACCAATGTTTCAAACACAAAGAGACAAATCTTAATATTGGCGAAGCCCAGTAAATGATGGATACTCAAAACAGAAGATTTGAAGATCTGGAAGGATTTGAAGGAATGATGCTGAAACATCATTCCTTACACTACATGATTATTCCTATTTTTACACATAAATATTTTTACTATAGAAATTTAGTAGGCCAATATGCTTAGTATTAATAAAACAAATTTCTTATACTAGTCTGGCCCTATGTACCTTCTACCTGACTATAAACTACTTTCTCAGGAGTCCTCAAACAATTGTTTAGTTAGTTCAACCCTCTCAAGATGTCTGGTTTCATTGAGAAGGAAAGTCAAATCTATTTTGCATTGTGCCAGTTAATGGCTCTAATGTTATGTGGTCTTCCACTCAATAACAGTTAATGAAAATAATTGTTCCAATGATTGCCAAAAAAAACCAGTACTTTATAATTAGAAGTTGCATTTGTCTATAAACATTACATTTTGGAAACTAATTAGAGTTTATTTCCAATACACAACATTTGGTTCATTTTCTTCCATGTAAGTCAGTCTGACCTTCATCTTTAAAAAAGTCCAGAACATACTTCAGTGCCAAGGAAGGAATCATTGACCAGTAGTTATCAACCTGTGCAATACACAAGTCTCAGGGTGAAGGGGAATATTTTCATGGTCTGTAGCCATTTATCACTTCTATACCATAGATTTCCACTTACTATAGATTTCTATGTATTTTGTCTTCTTTTCAAGGATGATGTGAGGGTCACATTACAAAATGTGGCTAAAATAAAACAAACCAATCAGGCCACAACTTAATATAGAATATCAGCTTGACCCTGTGGAATTATATATGAAGATTTGGTAAGACTAATACAGAAGTTGCTTGATCAATATTTGTTGTAAGAACAAGTGTATACAAGAAAATTAATTTTATAGGACCTCCATTTAGCTCAGTAGCAGTACTAGGCCTTATGTAATATGGCATGATAAGAAACTGTTAAAGTGAGACATTCTTTTGGACTCATTCTTGTCTTTTCTTTCTGAGAAACATTACTGTCAAAACAGACTTTTGCTATTCTCAGTCACACAGAGCATATGATAATTTTTAGAATGTAGTTGGGGACAATTCTTTGCAATCTGGAACTAATTGTGTATCATGATTTGAGCCATTTGTTTAAAATACCTTTTCAGAAAGTCAAAGATTAAAGATATGTGAAAATGAGACATATTATCAATATCAGTCTAAGGTGTAGACATATTAAGATTACAGACAACTAACCAAATTTTGGGTGCATTATGTTAAATGTAAGGGTTTAAATCAATCACAAAAAGGCTTGTCTAAGTAATTGCAACAAATGGAAATCTAAGAATCAATGCTATTAAAGCGTAAAGTTGCTACCAGGGAGAACTACATGTAAGCTAAAAAGGGACATTCTGAATTAAGCAATTCTGGAATACAAGCATACATGTCTAATAATATTGTAGGAAAGATGTGGACTCCTTAAATTCCAGTTTGCATCTTTACATTTGGTAAGGCCAGTCATTCTTGTGGTTTCAGTTATTGTTAATAGATTAATGACTTCCACATCTTTATGACCAATAAGAGCTCTCCCCAAAACATAAACACATACTAATGAATAACTACAGAAAATATATCTCCATATCTGGTTTATTCATGGACTTTAAAAATAACTAGTTATATTTAAGTCATAACCCATCATCTCTACCTACATCTCCTCCTGGGCTTTTTTTTAATGGCATTTCATGAGTAATGCCCAATTTTATACATAAGAAATACATAAGAAACTGCAAGTTATTCTTGATTAACCACTCTTTCTTCACACTTCGATGTATGGCATCTCTAAGGAGATACAAAGCTCTACTCAATGTACTTTTTTAGTTCTGATAACTATCATATCCACTTAGATTGCTTCAACAACTTCTTCGCTAGCAGAAACTCGTTACAGTCACTAGTTTTGCCTCTATTCCCATGATGATACCAGATTGATCTTTTCAAAATTCACCTCTGACCATATGTTTCTGCTAAATAAAATCTTTTTAATGACTGCCTATAGACTAAAATTCAAAACCTTTTGCAGCAGGAGTTAGCAAATTATGACCCATGGGCCAAATCTAACTCACCACTTGTTTTGTTAAGCTCTGGAAGCTAAGAATCATTTTTACCTTTAAACAATCATTATACTGTAAGTGATTATATAATTGCCTACACAATATCCTTGATCTGTTTCTTGGCTTGTAAGCCTAAAATATTTACTCTCTGGCCCTTTAGAAAACATGACTGCAGATCCCAGTGCTAGGAGATTATAGAAAGCCCATTACATGCACTGTTACCCTCATCAGCCACACCTCCCATCACGCCGCTGAAACCTACTCTCCAAAAAAAGACAATTCCAGGAATTGTTTAAGTTTAGAAATAAAAGTGTTCATTCACACCTCTGGGTCTTACCTTAGTGCCATCTCAGCCTAGAACATATTCGCCTCTGGTACCTTCATTAGGATTCAACCCATTTTTCTTCCAGGAAAACTACTGAACTTTATTGTTCTAAGATAGGTTCTCTGTTCTCCGACAAACCATTTTTAAATCTGTGTAAAACTTGATCCACAATGCAATATGGGGTAGTTTGCATTTCCCCAAATGCCTGCCACAATAGCTCCCATTCAATAAGCTTTTCTGCACTGTGACTTGCCAAACCCCTATAAAGAGATGGGGTCTATATCTGTACTCCTTGAATCTGGGCAGGACTTGCAACTGACTTGACTAATAGAACATGTCAGAGTTGACACTATGCCAGTTATGAGAAGATTCTTTAAGAGGCCTCTGGCAGCTGTGATTGCTGCCACTTGGACACCAGCCTCTTTGTAAGAATTGTGATTGCCCTGGGTTCATCATGTGGTAATAAGCCTAAGCCACATTTACATGGCAATTGAGATGCTAGGTAAAGAGAGAAAGAGAGAAGCCAAGGCACAATAAGATGTCAATCAAGTAAGTGAAAAAAACCATTATGGAAGTGGGTCTTCTGGTCATGAGGCTGCAGCTGACACCACATGCACCAGAGACCTATTGTTCAGCTAAGCTCCTAAATGTCTGACCTACAAAATATGAGCAAAATAAAATTGATACTTGAAACCAATAGCTTTTGGGGTGGTTTTTCATAATGCAGTATATAGCCACAACAAAATAATTGCTTTCTTACTAATTTGTTTTCCTCGTTTGAATGTAAGGTTTAAGTGACTGAATAAGACTCTCTTACTGAGCTTGTTTTCCAGAGCCTGGAATGTAACAAATGCCTGTTACATGCTTATTGAATAAATCAATGAGTTTTCATAGTTCAGTGAAAGATTGAATATGTAAATGGATCTAGTTTCAGGGAAGTGTACAGCTAACAGGTCCTGTTTTCTATGGAGAGAAGAAAGAAAAAGGAAGATAAAAACGAAGTGGAAATAAAATTTGGAGAGCAGATATAAGGTGGCTTTAAGTGAGGACAAAAATAAGAAAGTATTAGGGAGGAAGACATGGTTTGAAATTGTTGGAGGTTCCCAAGACCCTCCTGGTTAGATCATTCACTAGGTGGGCTCAACATATTGTCCTAGTCATGACTATGATTTACAGTGGCAGATGCACTTAAAAGCAAAATGGCCAAAAAAAAAAAAAAAAAAAGCACATAGGGTGGTGAAGTCCTGGGGAATCCAGGCACATGTTTCTAAGGGTTTTTCCCAGTGGAGTCATAGAGTCATATAGGACTCACTTAATTTTCCCAGCAATGAGTTGTGACATTTGTGAAATGTTGACAGCTAGGGAAGGTCATTAAAGACTTAGTACTCAGGATTTTTGCTGGGGTCTAGTCAAGTAGGTAGCTCCTGCTGGCACATGCATAAATTGCAGGCTGCCACAAGAAAAACAGATGTTTAGTATAAATCATACTGTTTGTACAAAGAGTTCAGACATGGTCATTCACTCTTACCAGTTCTGAGCATGGTGGGAAACCTGAAAGCTAAGTTCTCAGATACCAACTAAGAGCCAACTTTATAAGAAGGCATTTGAAAGAATGACAGTGAGACTTCTACATTAACTCTTTTTTACATAGAAGAGAAAGCTTATGCTTCTTACAGCCTATACTCCGCCCCTTTAGACACCGTCATCAAGAAAGCATTTGTGGCTCTAGAGGAAAAATACCTAATGAATGTTGTGTTAAGCTATTAAGTAAATTAATTCCATTAAAACAGTCCTCTACCCAAATGTACTTAATAGAACATTTAAAAAGTTAAGCTTTTATGAAAGATAAATGAAACCTTTTCATATAGCTCTTATATTAAAAGAGAATGTTCTTACAATTTTTTTGGTAGATTTATGGAGTACAAGTGCAGTTTTGTTACATGATATATTGTGTAGTGGTGTAGTCTGGCCGTGTAATATACTCATTGCCCCAGTAGTGAACATTGTACCCAATAAGTAATTTTTCAACCCTTATCCCACTTGCACTATTCCACCATTTGGAGTTTATTTATTTTTTATTTTATTTTATTTTTTTTGAGACAGAGTCTCCCTCTGTCACCCAGGCTGGAGTGCAGTGGCATGATCTCAGCTCACTGCAACTTCTGCTTCAGGGGTTCAAGCGATTCTCCTGTCTCAGTCTCTGAGCAGCTGGGACTACAGGCGCCCGCCACCACACCTGACTAATTTTTTGTACTTTTAGTAGAGAAGGGGTTTCATCGTGTTAGCCAAGATGGTCTTGATCTCCTGACCTTGTAATCCCCCTGCCTTGGCCTCCCAAAGTGCTGGGATTATAGGCGTGAGCCACCGTGCTCGGCCCATTTGGAGTTTTTAATGTCTGTTATTTCATTCTATATGTCCATAAGTACCTATAGTTTAGCTCCTAATTATAAGTGAAAACATGTGGTATTTGACTATCTATTTCTAAATTATTTCACTTAGAATAATGGCCTCCAGTTCCATCCATGTTGCTGTAAAATACATGATTTTATTTTTTGTTATGGTTGAGTAGTATGCCATGGGGTGTGAGTGTGTGTGTGTGTGTGTTTGTGTGTTTTTATTTTATATATATATATATATATATATATATATATATATACACACACACACACACACATACATACATGTATGGATAGATAGATACTAAATTTTCTTTATCTAATTATCCATTAATGGATACTTAGGTTGATTCCATGGCTTTGCTATTGTAAATAGAGCTGCAATAAATGTATAAGTGCAGTTGTCTTTTTGATAAAACAATTTATTTTTCTTTGAGTAGATATCCACTAGTGGACTAGCTAGATCAAATGGTGTTCCATATTTAGTTATGTGAGAAATCTCCATGCTGGTTTCCCTAGAGGTTGTATTAATCTTCATGCCCATGCTAGTGTATAAGCATTTCCTTTTCTCCACTTCTTCAATAAGATCTGTTGATTTTTGACTTTTAAAATAATAGCCATTTTGACTTGTGTGAGATGGTAATTCATTGTGATTTTAATTTTAATTCCTGTGATGATTAATGATATTGAACATTTTTTAACCTGCTTGTTGGCTATCTGCGTGTCTTCTTTCGAAAAATGTCTGTTCATGTCCTTTGCCCACTTTTTATTGTTGTTGTTTTTTTTATGGTTTGGTTGTTTGAGTTCCTTGTAGATTCTGGATATTAGCCCTTTGTCACATGCATAGTCTGCAAATAATTTTTCCCATTCTGTATGATGTCTTTTTATTCTTTTTTTTCCTATGCAGAAGCTTTTTTAGTTTAATTAAGTCCTATTTGTTTTTGTTTTTGTTGCATTTGCTTTTAAGGACTTAGTCATACATGCCACCCATGCTGATGTCCAGAAGAGTTTTTCCTATATTTTCTTCTAAGATTATTGTAGCTTCAGGTCTTACATTTCAGTTTTTAATCCATTTTGGGTTAATTTTTGTATATGGTCCCAAATATTTATTGATTATCTGCTGTGTGTACAAGGCATTGTGCTAGGGTTCTTTACTGATGGTTGTGAAATAAAGACTTCCCATTTGGATTTAAGGGGACAGTATGGAATACCTACTCATCGATGAAAAACTACTGTTTGACCTGGCAAGGGCTGTAATAGAGGCCTATGTAATTTCCTTATACATACCAAAGGAGATAGCTGGTGCTGTTGGGAAAGATACTGGGGATTTTCTCTTTCCTGAAGGGCTGAGTCAAAAGCTCAATTATGAGTAGGATTTAGTAGGCCAGAAATAAGAAGGACTTTCCTTTACAGCACAAAGAATAGTATAAGAAAGGGCTTTATAGTCCATAGCACATTTTAGAGAATTGAAGTAAAGTCTATTACTGGAATGCAGGTCTTAGAGAAAAAAATTAGAGGTGAAAATAGAGAATCAGGTAAATTGAGATCATCAGTTGTATTGCATGGCCTGTTAACAGGTCTGAACTACCAATAAAAACAAGCTTCTGAAGACCTGAAATTGAAAAGACAAGGTTAGAGTACTTAAACAGATTTTTCAAAACCTGGTAGAAAGAATAAAATAGAGCAGTGTTTCCCTTACTTTGGTCATTCTTATTAGCCCTTTAGGTTTCTAAATCCCTGTGCTATTATAAACTGCTTTCTTTATATGAAATGTAAGCTAACTTTAAATTATTTTCCTTATTCATTTTTTTGTGAAAAAACATACTTAATTTATATTTATACATACAACTTACAAATATGTATGAATGCACATGCATATATAGACTGATAGATTTTCTATACCTATGAAATAAAATACATGTTATCAGAAGTTTGACAGAAAGTTGGTAGGCCAATTTTTATGTATATATATTTTATGATGGATTTTAAGTTAAATGTGTAAATTATGAAAGAAACAAATGTTAATTCCTGTACTCTGAAAATATTTTTGTACTATCAATGATGGAGGATACTGCAATAGTTTCTAAGACATGGCAAGGGTGTTCTGCTTCTGGCCATAAAACAAACTAGCTTATTCTAAAAAATTACCCCAAGTAAAGCAACACATAATATTTCAGTATAAATTATTATTTTAAAATCGTATCTCTTGACTTAGCTGACAGCAAATAAAGAAATTCATCAGGAACCTGAACCCTCAAGAAAATGAGAGTCCTGAGGAGTATCATAGACTTACTTTAAGAAAAATAAAAAATTATTCTGGAGAAAAGTTCTGAAAATTAAGAAAATCCATTGTTATACCACTCCCTAGAAATGAGAGGGACTCCCACCTAAAATTTGGTTTGGATGTCAAGACTTATAATGCTACACACAAAAAATTTGGATATATTTTTATTCACATAATGTGGCTTTGGGGGAGAGCAATCAGATTCTCCAAGCTGATCTAAAAATAGGTCTAGAGAGCAGGGATGGGAAATTGGTGGCTTGGGCTTTTTACAGTAAATGAGGAGTTGGGGTTGAGGTTGGGGTGAAAGTTCTTGTGCAAAGGCAGGGTCTCGCATGCTTGGAATTTCCCAGAGCAACTGAGCTTTCTTTTCAGCTTCCCCAGATACGGGCAGAAGGGGAAGAAAGAAGGGTGGATCTTAAAATGTGTTAGCAGATAAATGCCAAAAGTACCATCTGACTCATTATTATAGCTGCTAAGAAATTGAAATGTTAAGAAACAATAAGAATAGCTTATTAGATTTCAGGTCGGGCTCTGTGATTTATTTATTTATTTATTTATTTATTTATTTATTTATTTAAATGATAGAGACAGGGTCTCATTATGTTGCCCAATCTGGTCTTGAACTCCTGGCCTCAAGCAATACTCCCCACTTGGTCTCCCAAAGTGCTAAAATTACAGGTGTAAGACACTGCTCCCACACTGTGATTTGGCTCTTTTTTTTGGTCCTACCAGAGTTTGTGAGAAATTACATATTTTTGAAATATAAATTAGTGCATTAATTAATTAGCATGGGAACTGAGGAGGAGCATAGCTTCCAGAGCTAAAGAAGAAAATGCCATGTTGGGGATTATATAGGTTGGAAATTAAACTCTTTGCTATATTAAAATTAAAAAAAAAAACCAGAAATCTTTTTAGGCCTACTAGGAATCTGTGTTATTTTTCTACCGCACTAACTAGAAAATAAAAGGTTTCAGGAACATTTCTTGTGAAACTTACCACCATGAAGAGATTTAAACAATGAGATAAACGTCATTGTTTTTGGTTTTTCTTGCTTTCTGATTTTTTTATTCATTCAGCCACATCTTAAATTTTTCAAAGCTCCTGACAACTTCTTTTATTTTGAATATCACACAATGACTCATACCAGGTAAAATAAATCATTAATTTAGAAGTGATAGATAATTTGTTTATTAATTTAAATGCCTCTTCTGTGCCCAGCATTTTACTTGCTGCTATGAGGAAATAAAAACAAGAAGACATAATAAAATTGAAGTAGAAACAACAAGCACAAACAAAAAAGCACTTCATAGGGTGATATTCAAAATAAAGCTAGTCAATGTTAAATGAGAAAATGTGGTTTAAGGCAGGCTTGGAAGAAACTCACTGATTAGCAAAAATTAGGAGGAGGCAAATTCAA
This sequence comes from Homo sapiens, assembly GCF_000001405.40. Classification (NCBI taxonomy): domain Eukaryota; kingdom Metazoa; phylum Chordata; class Mammalia; order Primates; family Hominidae; genus Homo; species Homo sapiens. The sequence goes on along the minus strand of NC_000002.12, from coordinate 83,228,783 downwards.
TGATTAAAATACAGATACAGAGATGACCAGGATATGTCCAGAGATTGAGAAGAATAGTGAAGCAAGACTGGTAAAAATAATGACTACATTTCAGGATTTGCTTGGAGAAGGAAGGATGCTAAATCAAACAGTAAAATTTAGAAATTTTGACAAGAGTAGCCCAACAGGATGCTTTATTATTTACATTTATTCTACACACAAAAATCGTCTTCTAGTCTGAAATTTTGCCTCTAGGCTTCCCTAATGGAACCAATAGTTTTTTTAATATAAAATATTCAATTGACTGTCTAGTACAAATATTAATTTTCTGAATTTTAAGCAGTTTTCCTAGGTTTTGTCTTATTGTACTATCTTATAAAAAAATCTATAAACCTCTTAATTGCCTTTTGAATAAAATCCATATTTCTTTATGTGCTGCTCAGAATAATTATGATCTGGTTCCCTAAGTACATGTCAATCTTTATATTCAACAAAGTCTCTTTTCCTCCACTCCAATTATATGAGTTTCTTGTTTTGTTTTTTTTAATTTTCCATCAGTGGGCTTACCTACATATTCATTATGATTCTCTTTTCATCTTTGTCATGTTTTTATATAATAGTTAACTACTCTGTCCTCTCTCTAAGTGTATATATTATATATGAAATATAAATCTTTTACCCACATACACACCACCTCATCTCTGCCAAGGAGGGGCTCTGACATGATTCAAATACTGGAAAAATATTGGACTTTATGGGCCAGAGTTTGAATGTGAAAGGAACAAAAAATCTTAAAAATTGTTGTGTCCAGAAAGAATTCCTACTTTATTTTAGATTCTAGTTTCTGAACTCACACTTTCTACAGTTATGTTGCTTTATTTGCATTGGCCTTTGAGAATGGTATGCGAAGATGGACTTGAGGCGTGCTCAGTATCACAGGGAAGTGTATTATATGTGGAAAAACCAAACTGGTTCCAGAAAAATGAAGGATCTATCCAGGTCAGTTAAGTGTTCTTTTATCTAAGACTAAGAGGAACTCTCATTTTACAGTGATCCTTAGCTCTGGGGAAACACACCACTACTTGGAGCTGATGTCTTATGAGAGCAAGTAAAGTGATTTTATTTTCTATGGGAGTGTCCTCTCTCAGAGTAAAAAATTAGACAATTACATCACCACTGCTCCTCTACCTGAGAACACAATTTTTATGAAGGTTTTCCATGCTATCTTTCTTTCTCAGCAGCATATTTTTAGTGCATAGCACAATGCATTTTATATATCAGGAACTAAATAATTGTTTATTGAATGGGTGAAACAAATAGAGAGATGATAAACTCAAGAACCTACAAATCTTGGGCACGATCTCCATCATCACCAAGGTTTACACAGCAAAATTACAGGCCTTGTTTAGGCATTTGAAAAACAATTTGAGAGTTTTAAGCAGGAGATTAACAATAAAATATGCATATGTATATGCCGTCTCTGGCTATAAAATGAATAATAAGTTTTAATGACATGGAATTGGATGATAAGAGACCATCAATATGTCTATTACCATATATAAAAGGGTATTCATGGAGAAAGAGAGAAGTGGACACATTCAAAATAGTTTTATGAGATAGAAGCAATAGGCCTATGTTACAAGTTGTGTATAAGAAGAGAGGGAAAAAGAAGTTTCAAGGATAATTCAGGTTTTTATCTTGGGCAATTGGATGAATGTTAATGCCACTTGCAGAGATGAACAGAGAGTTGGAGAAAACCACCAGGGAAAGCATGCATTCAGTTTGGGGACACTTCCTTCTGATGTAATCTCAAAATGTCTGAGTGAAACATTTTGCCAGATTGTGTACCTAACTCTTCAGGTGATTAAGAGGTTTGTGAGAGAAATAATAGTTTAGAGATCATCAGAATTGAGTAACTGCACCATAGACACAGATAAGTTAAACTAGGGAGAACACGGAAGCAGAAAAGAAGAGGGAATTCCAGAAATGAGCCTCAGAAATGCCAATATCCAATGCCATGGTAGAGAATAATGAGATATAAGAGACTAAGAAAGAGCTTCCAAAGCAGAAGGAGACTACAGAGTTATGGAAGACAAAGGATGGAAATTTTAAGAAGTAGATAATGGCAGTATTTGATGTATTATTGAAAAATAAAGTTAAGAAAAGACAAAATAGGTTGCATGGGTTCAGCAGCATGTAATTAGTGATTTTAGCAAGAATGCTTGTGTTTGTCTTAATTAGGGCCAAAGAGAATTATGATACATTGAATTAAAGAGAAAATAGGAGGTGAAATAATGAAAGCTGAATGTAGGAAAGAATAACTTTTTGGCAAGTTTGGCTTCTAACGAAGGAGAGAAAACAATAACACCCCAATCCTACCCCCACACCCTCCGAAAAATGAACAAGAGCAGAGCAAGTGGCAAATTTATTTGTTGTTTTGTCTTTTGCTCTTTTCGTTTTGTTTTGTTTTTGAGACGGAGTCTTCGCTCTGTCGCCCAGGCTGGAGTGCAGTGACATGATCTCGGCTCACTGCAACCACTGCCTCCCAGGTTCATGCCATTCTCCTGCCTAAGCCTCTGGAGTAGCTGGGACTACAGGCACCCGCCACCACGCCCGGCTAATTTTTTGTATTTTTAGTAGAGACGGGGTTTCACTGTGTTAGTCAGGATGGTCTCGATCTCCTGACCTCGTGATCCGCCAGCCTCGGCCTCCCAAAGTGCTGGGATTACAGGCATGAGCCACTGTGCCCGGCTGTCTTTTGCTGGTTTATACTTGTTTGAAGATGGGGGAGACTTGAATACGTTTAAATATTTCTGATAAACACCTATCTGTGAAAGACAAGATGAAAGACATCTTGAATATTACCATTGGCCATCTTTAGGTATATTACAGGCCCAGACACAAAGTCTAACGTAGAGAGATGTCTAAACAAGCATTTGTTGATATGAGTTCACTCAACACTAACTGGCCATAGTGAATCTGTCTGGACTGCCAATTGAACGGGAAGCTCAAGGACCTGCATACTTCTTTTCCTCTGTCTTCCCCACCCATGATAAAAGCAGTGCAGAGCACTCAGTCAGTGGGGACTAAGTACATCCACCCTTTTCCTTATTCTCCATTGCTTAGGACAACTCCTAGCATAGAGGATGCTTGATATAACTATTTTTTGTTAAAGTAGATAAATAAATGAATGAATAAGAAAATAAATCCAATCAGATAGGTCCTCAAGAAGCCTCTGCCAGTTGTTTTCTTAATTCTACAATGTCAGAGTGTGAAGACTATGGGACTGGTCTTCAAAAGATCATATTCACCTGGAAATTTATCTGATTCTTGAAGAGGACCACAATAACAAAATCCCACATTTCCTCTCCCATGTTCAAACAGTCTATTTTATAGTATTTAGTTTGATACAAATCTAATAGCTTTGTTTACCTTAATGGTATTTCTTATAGGCTTTTTGGTTCAGTTTCTTTGCATACAGAAACCTCTGGGCAAGGATATCCACAGAGCACTGGTTTTTATTATTATGTTTAAAATAAAAACTGAAAATACATTTCAGATGAACTTACTGTCATTGCCTTTTAAGCATGTATTTTATCTCTTTTTTTTCTTGACTACCTGCTAGATGTGCAAGAATGCCTCCCATCAGTATATTTTAAAATATAACAGCAAACCGGTGAAGAAAACCAATAATATATAGTATTTGTTTAGAAATACAATTTTCTGAGAAAAAAATAATTTAAGCTCAGGCTTGATGTAGAAGCTCTCAGCCAACGAGAACAATATTTGGCAGCTGTCTTCTTTGCTTATTGGGAACAATTCTTGCCAGCTGTCTTCTTTGCTTTGTGAAAATGAATAAAAAATTTATCCTTTGTTTTGACTGCAAAACATGTTCTCTTTTTTAGCAGGACTTCCTTATAGCTGTGTGATGTTTCATTAACTTCACTATGGTATGTAGTGGAAAAGCATTTCCCTGCCTTGTTGCTGAGACAGAGGATACATGAACTAACAATGTCCCCCTTTCTTTCAGCTCTACACATCGCTGCAATAACACAGAGATCATTCTGTGGCTTTAAAAGCGACGCTGGTAGGAAGAAAGAAATAGGATGTATTCAACAACTCTAATAATAATAATTTTTTTCTGTGGCATCCTGTGAATACAAATTCTATTACCTGGTTTAGACATATTATTTTTAATTCATGACAATGATTCAGAGGTACTAAAAATAACAGAAACATGAAACAATATTAATTCGAGTTCATACAGAGATTAATCATCACATCAATTATGTCTTATCTGAAAACCTAAAGTGTGATATGCTATATAGATTTATAAAAAATGTTATGTTTTGCCCATGATTTTTGTTTTTAAAATGAAAACAATGCATTGTTGTTGTTTAAAATATTGAATAGTGCAAAAAGGCTTATAATGAAAAGAAACACTTTCAGTTCCAGGTGTCTTTCTTGGTATTACTCTCATTGCTATAATGTCAACAACATGTTATCTGTTTATTTAATCATTTGCATAATATCTAAAAACTATCTACTAAGAAAATGAATTCTCCGGTTCCACTTCTCCCATAGCTCCCAAATATTGGTAGCTCATGTATAAACTTTTCTTTGACTCTTCTGACTTTCTTTACTTTGGATATCATGGTTTAAATTTCCAGTAGCCCTTCCTTTTTAAATAATTTTACTTTTTTCATACGGATGTGGTATTTTCATAATTCTCTCTGAACTATATATTAGAATCACTTTAAAATAAAATTCCCTCAAATAATTTTTTCCTTCAGAACAAGTTATTTTGGGGGATTAATAACAAACTTTAAAAATTAATTAATTATTTTTTTTAAGATGGGGTTTTGATCTGTCACCCAGGCTGAAAGATAGTGGCATGATCATAGCTCACTGCAGCCTGGGACTCCTGACCTCTAGTGATCCTTCTGCCTCAGCCTCTCCAGTAGCTGGGACAACAGGCGCACACCACCACACTTGGTTCTAAATTTATTTTTTAATTGACACATTGTAATTGTCTATATTTATGGGGTACAATGTGATATTTCAATACATATCTATGTTGTATATCTCTAATTTTTATTCTGCATATTTCTTAAAATAACTGTCATTTTGTTTTACAATTGGATGTGTATGAGAATGTATGTCCTTGTATGTGCATATGTGAGTGCGTGTGTGTTTCACATGAAGCTCTTAAATGATGACACTCGTCTCTAGAGCTTGCTGGGTGGGACATTTCACCTGAGGTTTACTTGTCCAGAAACCTACACAGGTCGAGAAAAGGATTGGTTAAGGTTCAACTGTTTCATACTCAGACATTCCATTAATCCCCCTCCTTTCAACTCCAGGTCTCCTGCTTATCTCCTTGGGATCTGGCACTTGAAAGTTTGCCCAGATTTCTGCTGGGCTGAGTGCCCCACCCATTCCTTCTGATTCTTCATGTCACATGATCAAAGATGCAGTATCCCTTGCTTTAGCAAATACCGCATAATTTATTCTGTCTTGTTGTGAAAGTTTGTTGAATCTCTTAGCAATTGATGACCTCTATCTTCTTTTCATATCTTGGCAGATTTATACCTTTTAATTTTGTTGGTATAATCTTCATATAGCCATGGAAGAAAAAGAAGATGAATCTGCATGGTCATGTCCACATCTATGATGGAGTATTTTGTATGGCTTTGAAGTTACATTATTTTCATTCTTTTAAATTGTGTGCCCACTTTAGGTAGGGATGGCAACTGCATATAGTCTCAATACAGCTGGTTGTTGTAAGAAACCAGG